>NT_167246.2:2271406-2306671 GCF_000001405.40 Homo sapiens | reverse complement strand
ATATGGTGAAACCCCATCTCTACTAAAAATACAAAAGTTAGCTGGGCATGGTGGCAGGTGCCTGTAGTCCCAGTTACTCGGGAGGCTGAGGCAGGAGAATCGCTTGAACCCAGGAGGCGGAGGTGGCAGTGAGACAAGGTCGCACCATTGCAATCCAGCCTGGGTGACAGAGCGAGACTCCGCCTCAAAACAAAACAAAACAAACAAACAAAAAATCTTCACTGTGGGCTCTGGGCCTTGCATCTTCTGAGGATTGATGGCCCATCTCCATTCCATAGATGAGCACCCAATACCATAAGACATTACTGCAAACCAAAACAACATGGTACTGGTACAAGAACAGACACATACACCAGTGGAACAGAATAGAAAACACAGAAATAAGACCACGCACCCACGACTATCTGATCTTCAACAAACCTGACGAAAGCAAACAATGGGGAAAGAATTCCCTGTTCAATAAACGGTGCTGGGATAACAGGCTAGCCATATGCAAACAATTCAAACTGGACCCCTTCTTTACACCTTACACAAAAATTAACTCACGATGGATTAAAGACTTAAATGTAAAACCCAAAACTATAAAACCCTGGAAGACAACCTAGGTAATACCATTCAGGACATAGGCATGGGCAAAAATTTCATGACGAAGATTCTGAAAGCAATTGCAACAAAAGGAAAAATTGAAAATGGGATTTAACTAAACGAAAGAGCTTCTGCACAGCAAAAGAAACTATCAACAGAGTAAACAGACAACCTACAGAATGGGAGAAAATTTTTGCAAACTATGCATCTGACAAAGGGCTCATATTCAGCATCTATAAGGAACTTAAACAAATTTATTTTAAAAAAGCAAACAATTCCATCAAAAAGTGGACAAAGGACATGAACAGACACTTCCCAAAAGAAGACATACATGTGGCCAACAAACATATTTTAAAAAGCTAAACATCATTGATTATTAGAGAAACGCATATCAAAACCACAATGATATCGTGCCATTGCACTCCAGCCTGGGCAATAAGAGCAAAACTCCATCTCAAAACAAACAAACAAAAACCCACAATAAGATATCATCTCACGCCAGTCAGAACAGCTATTATTAAAAAGTCAAAAAATAAAAGATGCTGGCGAGGTTGTGGAGAAAAAAGAATGCTTATACACTGTTGGTGGGAGTATAAATTAGTTCAGTCATTGTGGAAGACACTGTGGTGATTCTTCAAAGACTTAAAGACAGATACCATCTGATCCAGCAATCCCATTACTGGGTATATACCCAAAGGAATATAAATCATTCTGTTATAAAAGCACATGGACGTGGCCAGGCACGGTGGCTCATGCCTGTAATCCCATCACTTTGGGAGGCTGAGGCAGGTGGATCACCTGAGGTCAGGAGTTCGAGACCAGGCTGACCAATATGGAGAAACCCCTGTCTCTACTAAAAATACAAGATTATATGGGCGTGGCGCCACATGCCTGTAATCCCAGCTACTGGGGTGGCTGAGGCAGGAGAATCGCTTGATCCCGGGAGGCAGAGGTTGCAGTGAGCTGAGATCGCACCATTGCACTCTAGCCTCGGCAACAAGAGCAAAACTCCATCTCAAAAAAAAAAAAAAATGCATGCATGTGTTCATTGCAGTGGTATTCACAATAGCAAAGACATGGAATCAACCTAAATGCCCATCAGCGATAGACTGGATAAAGAAAATGTGGTATATATACATCATGGACTACTATGCAGTCATACAAAAAGAACAAGATCATGTCCTTTGCAGGGACATGGATGGAGCTGGAGGCCATTATTCTTAGCAAACTAATGCAGGAACAGAAAACCAAATACCGCATGTTCTCGCTTATAAGTAGAAGCTAAATGATGAGAACACAGGGACACATAGAGGGGAACAACACCCACTGGGGCCTATCAGAGGGTGGAGGGTGGGAGGAGGGAGAGGATCAGGAAAAATAACTAATGGGTACTAGGCTTAATAGCTGGGTGACGAAATAACCTGTACAAAAAAACCCCCATGACACACATTTACTTATGTAACAAACCTGCATATGAACCCCCGAACTTAAAATAAAAGTTAAAAAAAGAAAAGCCATGGCTGCAGCACAGTAAAAGCTTCAGCGGCTGACATAATGCCAACAAGATAACAAAACTAGAAGAAAAGACGGGAATGCGAAAAAAGACAAGACTCTTTCATGGGCTTTGTGCTGGATGGATAATAGTTGCACTTATTGGGAGGATAATAATTGCACTTATTTCAGCATACCCCCTGGACAATATGAATCATTTAATGTTGACAACGCCATGTAGGGGCAGGAAGTTGTAGGGGCTCCCATTTTCTTCCTCTCTCAAGAACAGTCTTCACGGAGTGCCTGCGATTGCAGGCACGCGCCGCCACGCCTGACTGGTTTTCGTATTTTTTTTGGTGGAGACGGGGTTTCGCTGTGTTGGCCGGGCCAGTCTCCAGCTCCTAACCGCGAGTGATCCGCCAGCCTCGGCCTCCCGAGGTGCCGGGATTGCAGACGGGAGTCTCGTTCACTCAGTGCTCAATGGTGCCCAGGCTGGAGTGCAGTGGCGTGATCTCGGCTCGCTACAACCTCCACCTCCCAGCCGCCTGCCTTGGCCTCCCAAAATGCCGAGATTGCAGCCTCTGCCCGGCCGCCACCCCGTCTGGGAAGTGAGGAGCGTCTCTGCCTGGCCGCCCATCGTCTGGGATGTGAGGAGCCCCTCTGCCTGGCTGCCCAGTCTGGAAAGTGAGGAGCGTCTCAGCCCGGCCGCCATCCCATCTAGGAAGTGAGGAACACCTCTTCCCGGCCGCCATCACATCTAGGAAGTGAAGAGCGTCTCTGCCCGGCCGCCCATCGTCTGAGATGTGGGGACCGCCTCTGCCCCGCCGCCCCGTCTGGGATGTGAGGAGCGCCTCTGCCCGGCCGCGACCCCGTCTGGGAGGTGAGGAGCGTCTCTGCCCGGCCGCCCCGTCTGAGAAGTGAGGAGACCCTCTGCCTGGCAACCGCCCCGTCTGAGAAGTGAGGAGCCCCTCCGCCCGGCAGCCGCCCCGTCTGAGAAGTGAGGAGCCCCTCCGCCCGGCA
Organism: Homo sapiens; assembly: GCF_000001405.40. Lineage (NCBI taxonomy): Eukaryota > Metazoa > Chordata > Mammalia > Primates > Hominidae > Homo > Homo sapiens. The sequence continues at coordinate 2,303,575 of NT_167246.2, read as the reverse complement.
GCCAACCCGTCCGGGAGGGAGGTGGGGGGGTCAGCCCCCCGCCCGGCCAGCTGCCCCGTCCGGGAGGTGAGGGGCGCCTCTGACCGGCCGCCACTACTGGGAAGTGAGGAGCCCCTCTGCCAGGCCACCACCCCGTCTGGGAGGTGTACCCAACAGCTCATTGAGAATGGGCCATGATGACGATGGCGGTTTTGTGGAATAGAAAGGGGGGAAAGGTGGGGAAAAGATTGAGAGATCGGATGGTTGCTGTGTCTGTGTAGAAAGAAGTATACATGGGAGACTTTTCATTTTGTTCTGTACTAAGAAAAATTCTTCTGCCTTGGGATCCTGTTGATCTGTGACCTTACCCCCAACCCTGTGCTCTCTGAAACATGTGCTGTGTCCACTCAGGGTTAAATGGATTAAGGGCGGTGCAAGATGTGCTTTGTTAAACAGATGCTTGAAGGCAGCATGCTCGTTAAGAGTCATCACCACTCCCTAATCTCAAGTACCCAGGGACACAAACACTGCGGAAGGCCTCAGGGTCCTCTGCCTAGGAAAACCAGAGACCTTTGTTCACTTGTTTATCTGCTGACCTTCCCTCCATTATTGTCCTATGACCCTGCCAAATCCCCCTCTGCGAGAAACACCCAAGAATGATCAATAAAAAATAAATAAATAAATAAATAAATAAATAAATAAATAAAAAGAAAGAAGAAAAAGAAAAAAAAAAAAAAAAAAACAGTCTTCACTACATGCACCTTCGATCTGAATTTTTCCGCTGAAGTTTGCTAAGTCTTTCCTAACAGAATACCTGTGCCTAAAATGTTTTCTGGAATAAGAAAAATAAACACCACATATGGGGCAGGGGAGCTTCCCCAATACCTAGATGTATTAAAGTCCTTCTCATCCAGATCGTTTGTCCCCATAACCAGTGATGGCAGACCATTGACCAGGGTGTATTTATGGATTTCCATGAATTAAAGTATATTCTGCCCTAGTATCTACTAAGGAAATAGTCTTCTCCTTATTTTTTTGAGAGGAACAGTAAATGGTGAGCTCAATATGGGGCCTCTGGTCACCTGCAACGTGGGGTTGACCTTGGTCCCACTGCTAATCTTGGGCCCAGCATGGAATCCCCCTCTGATAGGCTGGAGTATTAGAATGAGGGGTTGAGTCATCTTCCTCTTCTGCTAGAGGGGCAGAAATGAAGGGACAAAACAGCCCTTCAGTCTGTACTTCCCTCCATAAGGCTACTAACACAGCATTTTTCATATTTTCCATATTTTAACATTTTTTACATATTTTTTTCTCAGAATTTTTCTGCTCCCAATAAGTCATGCCACATTTGCCTGTTCTTGACTCTAGTTGGTCGCTTTCCCTTATTTTCCCCCTTCTTCCTGTGGAGCATTATCTTTCCCCTTTGTCAGCCCTTGCCGGGTTACAAAGCACACCCCGTCCCTAGCTTTCTCAGTAGCTCCCAAATCTGTGATGGCTTCTCCTACGTCATATACATCTTTTTTTTTTTTTTTTTTTAAGACGAAGTTTCGCTGTTGTTGCTCAGGCTGGAGTGCAATGGCACGATCTCGGCTCACTGCAACCTCCGCCTCCCACGTTCAAGCTATTCTCCTGCCTCAGCCTCCCAAGTAGCTGGGATTACAGGCGCCTGTCACCATGCCCGGCTAATTTTGTATTTTTAGTAGAGAAGGAATTTCACCATGTTGACCAGGCTGGTCTTGAACTCCTGACCTCAGGTGATCCATCCACTTCGGCCTCCCAAAGTGCTGGGATTACAGGCATGAGCCACCGTGCCCAGCCCTTTTTTTTTTTTTGAGACGGGGTCTCACTCTGTTGCCCAGGCTGGAGTGCAGTGCCCCAATCTCAGCTGACTGCAACTTCTGCCTCCTGAGTTCAAGCAATTCTCCTACCTCAGCCTCCCAAGTAGCTGGGGTTACAGGCACACCACCTAGCTAATTTTTGTATTTTTAGTAGAGATGGGGTTTCACCATATTGTCCAGGCTTGTCTCGAACTCCCGATCTCAAGTAATTCGCCTGCCTCGGCCTCTCAAATTGCTGGAATTACAGGTGTGAGCCCCTGTGCCTGGCCTTCCCACATCATATACTTCTTGTCCCATTTATAGGACTCAATAACATGAGCCAAGGGTTGTGCCATTCTCCTGGTGCACCCTTCAGCAATTTATTTTTCATCCCTGCAGGAAAAAACTGTTTTAAGTCCTGTGAGAACCCAAACATAGATGACTTGACTCATTCCTAATTCTTGGAGAAGCCCTTGGGCCTTTTCTGTTGACTGCCAGGAGGTCATCCTTCCCGGTAAATTTCCCTCATTAGGTCAAGCCTCCCTCATAGCTAGAATGAGCCAGTCCATAAGCTATGACTCCCTTGCGTCTGCCTTGCCTTAGCAAAGATGCTTCTGCAGGGCTGCATGGGTGGTGATGTTACTCATTTTTTCTGCTTCTCCTGTTAAGGAAATATCATCAGCCCCTGTGTCCCACAATCAGACCATCCAAGCAGCCAGGGATTCCCTCGGTAGTTGTTTAAAGGCCTTTGCAATCTCTAAGAGTTCTGCAGCGGTAGGTTCCCTGACAGTGAGAGTCTCCTGTATCAGCTGACCCCCGTTTTGCTGCCAATGTTAGGTTTCACTTTCCTTTGCATGAGACAGCGAGCTTGCCAATGATCCCCATCCCCCTCCACACCTGTGACTTCTATGTCATCAGTCTTCCTCTTCATAACAATCCCAGGGATTCCAAGTTTTCACATCCCAGTTGGGCTTTCTCATGAGAGCTCTGATTTTTGGTCATTTCCATATCTTTCGCCCTAGGTGGACAAATCTACATGCTAACATTTCAATTTTTGTCTCTTGGTCTTCAATTTTGTTTGCTAAGTTGGATGTGAGGAGAGACATGGAGAGGTACACGTCTTTTTCTAGTTGCAATTCCTTCTCTAGACATTTAATTTTGGCTTCTGCTGCTAGCCGGATCTTCATTGCCAAAAGAAGCACCCAACCCTCTGCAGTGGCTATTGGCCGACCTTCCGTACCCCAGTGCACTATGCGGCTTTCAGTTAATAACTGCTCTAGGCCACCTGGCATTTTCAAGGCATCCCTGCACTCACACAGAGGTACACAGGTATCGAACAGTTGTGCCATCCAACCCTACACAGACGTGGCTGCCGCCCTGGGGTTTCCTTACAGATGCTTCATTCTCCTTACCCATTCCTTGTTCTCCCAGCTACTGGCTGGGGGATCACCAAATGTTCTACCATGAACAGGTCTACACAAACCTACCCCTAAATTTTGAGGGGAAAAGAGATCAAAGAAAGAGACTGACAAATCCAGTTTCTCACAGAGAAATATTTAATGGAGTCTTCCAAAGAGAAGTGATGTCTGAGGTGGCCACAAGATGGTGGATTCCCACACTCCCTCTCCAAAAAATATCCTTTCTAGAGTAAGCTTTTAGGGGAAAACATGTGCAACTGGTCACATCACAGACTTTCTTGCTGAAACCCATGACTGCTGGGGAGGTTAGATAAGCATCTTTGTGAGAGGTTAATTACGCTACAGGCATTGTTTTAAAGCCCTTGATACAGAACACCTTGGTATGCAGGAGTCAGACATTGGACATCTGGCGAGGTGCAGTGGCTCACACCTGTAATCTCAGCACTTTGGGAGGCGAAGGCAGGAGGAGTTCAAGGAGGCCAGGAGTTCAAGACCAGCTTGTGCAACAGAGTGAGGCCCTGTCCCTACAAAAAATTCTAAAAATTAGCCAGGCATGGTGGCACACGAAACTGTAGTCCCAGCTACTCAGGAGGCTGAGGCAGGAGGATTGCCTGAGCCCAGGAATTGAAGGCTGCAATGAGCTATGATTGCACCACTGCAAAACTCCATCTAAAAAAAAAATGGCCATTGTGGTGGTTTCACTTCAAGATGGTATCACTCTTACCATGCAACAGGCTGTTTTCCTATAGCCGCATTGGTAAGATCCAATTCTTTGGTTTGCTGACACTGGAGAAACCCAATAAGTGGTGGAAGATGGAGCAGTTTCTACTGCTGTGAGTTGGGGTGAACCCACCAACAGACTGCTAATTCTCTGCTGAGGGCTCTGTCCCAAGTAGGAGCCCTCCATTACCTTGTGGGCTCAAAGCAACTTAGCCTCTAAAGCAGCTCCCCTCTGTCTTCCAAGACCTGGAGGACCCTCTTCCCTGGACTCATGAAAGGGATACGTGCAGCTCTTCTGGGCAGGGATTTATGAGAATCTCGGGTCTTTGCAAGAGCCTCTTGGAAGATTCGACCTCAGCAGGCCAGAAAGTCTTTCCCTTGGGAAACCAGGGAGCACTCAGGGAGATGAGTGTCACCAGCTCCTCCACCCTGATGGGTAGTCAGGCCTGGAGCACATGGAAATGCCCTGGGAACCTCGACTTCAAGTGAATATGCGTACCCCCCTCCCCCCTCCCCCCCCACACACAGAGCAGGTAGTTGTAACGCCTCCACCTCATCCTGCTCTTGGCTCTTCATGTATCACAACCTAATCTCTGTGTACCACAGGCCTCACGCAGGAGCCCATAGCATGCTGGCACCCGCCCTCCCTCCTTATCTCTCCCAAGTCAATTCTCCAGCCAATCGGGGTGTCTCAGAGATACAGGGACCTTGCCTGGGGCAAAAAGGATTAGAAAATGCAGACACACAGATAAGAATGAGGTCTTTGGATTTTACTGTGGAGATTTTGAATGCCAGATGGAGTCCAGCATGGAGGTTTTCTCCTATAACTGAGTTCATCTCAGAGCTAGATACCCACCCCGGGGCAAGCACAGCTTCTCTTTGTCGTGTGTGTTAGATGAGATGTATTTATTTCTTAGCTAAATGAGCAATATAGTATTCTCTTTCCAGTGTCTGGTAAAGGCAAGAAAGGTGAGGAATACCTTCTTCAAGATTTTCAGGATCTCAAACAAAGCTGGGAGGGGTCTCCTGGGATGAATGAAAGGAAACCAGGTCTTGGGTGCCCAGGTCTCTTCCTTCCTGAAGAATGCGGCACTTGCTTCCGGGGCTGCTCAGGGCCCGCTGTTCCTCCCGCTCATCTCCATGGCTATCGATGATACTGGTCTCCTCCAGAACCAGTTAGGACTCCACCTGGGCCTGTGGGGGGCTCCATGATTCCCTCCAGGGCCTGGACCAAGGCCATGGTTGAGGCCATGAGGGTGGTAGACAGCTGTGTTAAAGGTGTTTCTCAGGGACAGGCTGTTTCTCTAAAAAAAGAAGAGTCAATAGTTTCAGAATTGCATCCCTGTCTCCCACGCCTTTACCACGTACGCCTTCTGGAATCTTCTCCCACTTCCAACCATACTCTTTACCTAGTTCTCCTTTCTCCAGTCCTTTCTGTGGCCCCCTTTTCCCGCAGGTCAGCAGCTTCCTCTGCATTGACCTACCATGTCTCTGTGTTACTCTTTCCTGATCTCCCTTCCTCCCTACCCACCCCTGACTTGAGACCCCTTCTATTCACACCCATTTCCTTGTGTTTCTGCTGCTCCTTCCCCCAGGCATTTTCTTACATATTAGGCACTCACCACACAGAAGAAGAGCCCAGCAAAGAGCCCCACGGCCGCCACAACCGAGACCAGGGTGATGAGGAAGATTTCCCACGGCACCAGGGACCCACCAGGCTTTGCCTCACTCACTGCAGTAGATGCACTATGGGAAGTTGTGTGCATTCCAGTCAGAGCTGCTGTTCCAGAGCCTGCAGAGGTCACACTGGACCCAGAGTTGGTGGCTGTGTTGGCCCCACTGGAGGTTGTGCTGGACTCAGAATTGGTGACTGTGCTGATCCCACTGGACACTGTGCTAGACTCAGAGTTGGTGGCTGTGCTGGCCTCACTGGAGGTTGTGCTGGAGTCAGAGTTGGTGGCTGTGCTAGCCCCACTGGAGGTTGTGCTGGACTCAGAGTTGGTGGCTGTGCTGACCCCACTGGAGGTTGTGCTGGACTCAGAGTTGGTGGCAGTGCTGGCCCCACTGGACACTGTGCTGGACTCAGAGTTGGTGGCTGTGTTGGCCCCACTGGAGGTCGTACTGGACTCAGAGTTGGTGGCTGTGTTGGCCCCACTGGAGGGTGTGCTGGACTCAGAATTGGTGACTGTGCTGATCCCACTGGACACTGTGCTGGACTCAGAGTTGGTGGCTGTGCCGGCCCCACTGGAGGTTGTGCTGGAGTCAGAGTTGGTGGCTGTGCTAGCCCCACTGGAGGTCGTGCTGGACTCAGAGTTGGTGGCTGTGCTGGCCCCACTGGAGGTCGTGCTGGACTCAGAGTTGGTGGCAGTGCTGGCCCCACTGGACACTGTGCTGGAGTCAGAGTTGGTGGCTGTGCTGGCCCCACTGGAGGTCGTGCTGGACTCAGAGTTGGTGGCTGTGCCAGCCCCATTGGAGGTCGTTCTGGACTCAGAGTTGGTGGCTGTGCTGGCCCCACTGGAGGTTGTGCTGGACTCAGAGTTGGTGGCAGTGCTGGCCCTACTGGACACTGTGCTGGACTCAGAGTTGGTGGCTGTGCTGGCCCCACTGGAGGTTGTGCTGGACTCAGAGTTGGTGGCTGTGCTAGCCCCACTGGAGGTTGTGCTGGAGTCAGAGTTGGTGGCTGTGCTGGCCCCACTGGAGAGTGTGCTAGACTCAGAGTTGGTGGCAGTGCTGGCCCTACTGGACACTGTGCTGGACTCAGAGTTGGTGGCAGTGCTGGCTCCACTGGAGGTCACACTGGACCCAGAGTTGGTGACTGTGCTGGCCCCACTGGAGGGTGTGCTGGACTCAGAGTTGGTGGCTGTGCTGGCCCCACTGGAGGTTGTGCTGGACTCAGAGTTGGTGGCTATGCTGATCCCACTGGACGCTGTGCTGAACTCAGAGTTGGTGGCTGTGCTGATCCCACTGGAGGTTGTATGGAACTCAGAGTTGGTGACTATGCTGACCCCATTGGAGGTCACGCTGGACCCTGAGATGGTGGCTGTGCTGACCCCACTGGAGGTCACACTGGACCCAGAGTTGGTGGCTGTGCTGGCTCCACTGGAGATCACACTGGATCCAGTGTTGGCAGAGGTGCTAGTCTCATTGGAATTTGTTGCTGAAGAAATCATATAATGACAAATATATATTGTGTATATATACTTTCTGCTTATTGCTTGGCTAAATTCATTACATAATTTTATTTAATGCTCACTATGGTGCTATAACATAGATGCTATTATTATCACCAGCTGAGATGAAGAAATTGAGGCTTCAAAATGTTGATACTGGGCTGGGCACGGTGGCTCACGCCTGTAATCCCAGCACTTTGGGAGGCCAAGGTGGGCGGATCACCTGAGGTTCGGAGTTCGAGACCAGCCTGACCAACATGGAGAAACCCCATCTCTACTAAAAATACAAAATTAGCCGGGCATTAATTCCAGCTACTCGGGAGGCTGAGGCAGGAGAATCACTTGAACCCGGGAGGCAGAGGTTGCGGTGAGTCGAGATCGAGCCATTGCACTCCAGCCTGGGTTCCAAGAGCAAAACTCCGTCTCAAAAATAAAAAATAAAAAAAAGTTGACACTGGCCCAAGTTTACACAGCTAGTGAGTGGTGGAACAGGAAACTGAACCCAGGCTACTAAATCTGCACTTGTGGAGACTAAGCTAAGTCAACCACCCACCCACAATGCCAGAGTTACATCATCTAGTTTCACTGGTAGCTAACCTTTTTCCACATTCTGCTATGCAAGATACAATACAGATATAAAGTATTATAAAAGAATTATAGGACTAGGTGAAACTAGTATATACTGATCAATTTTTTTCTTAAGTAGTATTGCTTCCTTCTTGGAAAATATTTCTCAGAATAATATTCAGAACACACTTATATCAGAATTACTTAAGGGAGCATGTTGAAAATATTCTTAAGCAAATCATTCCAGACTAAATGAATTAGAATTTGAGATGGGGCCCAGGAGTCTGCATGTACAACAAGAAGCCAGGTGACTATATGCATTCAAGTTCCAGGGGCCCTTGATCACTATGGCCAAGGCTAGAGAAGAACGAGTTATATGTAGCTCAAATACATAAGAGCTCCCAGGAATAAGGGCTGTAAACCAACGTCTAAAGGTAGAGGGAAGGCTTTTAACTTCTTGGAGGCTTGGCTGGAGTTAAGGTTATGTCAAATTTTTGCCCTTGATTTCCCAGAAGGATGAAGACATTCAACCTCCCCAGCCTGTACGTGGGAAGCTGACGTGGAATTAGGTGTAGGGGTAGGAGAGAAATTGAGTTTGTAGAATATAGAAGAGTGGTATTTTATTTTATTTTATTTTATTTTATTTTATTTTATTTTATTTTATTGCTTATTTATTTATTTGTTTTTGAGACGGAGTCTTGCTCTGCCGCCCAGGCTGGAGTATAGTGGAGCAATCTCAGCTCACTGCAACATCCGCCTCCCAGGTTCAAGCGATTCTCCTGCCTCAGCCTCCTGAGTAGCTAGGATTACAGGCATAAGCCACCCCGCCAGGCTAATTTTTGTACTTTTAGTAGAGATGGAGTTTCACCATGTTGGCCAGGCTGGTCTGAAACTCCTGGCCTCAAGACATCCACCCGCCTTGGCCTCCCAAAGTGCTGAGATTACAGGCGTGAGCCACTGAGCCTGGCCTTATTTTATTATTTTATTTTTTTGAGACAGAGTCTCACTCCGTCACCCAGGCTGGAGTGCAGTGGCACCATCTTGGCTCACTGCAACCTCCGCCTCCCGGGTTCAAGCGATTTTCCTGCCTCAGCCTCCTGAGTAGCTGGGAGTACAGGGACAAGCCAACACACTCAGCTAATTTTTGTATTTTTAGTAGAGACAGGGTTTTGCCACATTAGCTAGGCTGGTCTTGAACTTCTGACCTCAATGACCTGCCTGCCTCACCCTCCCGAAGTGCTGGGATTAAAGGCATGAGCCACCGCACCCCGCCAGAAGAGTGACATTTTAAAAGCAGCCGACTCTTCTTGTTCTTAATATTTAAAACCCCAACCATATTACACAGGTTGTTACCATTTTACAGATGCAGAAATCGAGGCGCAGAGAAGCAACTGACCTAAAGTACACAGTTAATAGATGGAGCCATAATTCAAATGTAGGCAATGTGAGACCAGAGCCCAATTTTAACCACTGTGTCTGACTGCTTCCTGCATGACATACCTTGTTAGGCTGAAGTGATTCGAGTAAAATGATGATCCTCACTCTATGGAAGAGAAGCAGAGCTGGCCCCAGTAGTGGTCACATTTCTCTCCCAACTCCTCAAAGGTTCTCAGACCACCCGATTTTAAATAAAATCACTCACCAGCTTCTAAATGCAATAGTAGACCAAACATAAGGAGAACATTTCCTTTCTGCATCTTCATCTGTCTCTTTGTGGCTGGAAAGCAAGATGCCTGGGTCCTAGATGTACCAAGACTTTAGAGGGCAAAGAACAGAGGATTCTTGAGAAAGGGGACTTGAAGGTGAAGAGATAAAGGCTGGTGCTTCCAGGAGCGTGGGTCTCCTACGTTTGTGTTCCTGGGAAGAATCTTGGACTCAGGCGTGGGCAGCTGGATGCCTGGGTTCCTTAGGCTTCCTCCAGGCAATGTAGTTGCCTCTTTCTCTGTTGTGAAAGAGCTGCAGGGGCCTTTATAGCTTCATATGGTCTGAGGAGGGGTGGGGCAGTTGACCTGACAGTCTGCCAACTACAGGCAGGTGAGAGAACGATACCAAGCCTGGGACGGAATAGAGCGGGGGTCAAGAGGAAGGTGAGAAAGGAGAATGACATGACCACACTAGGCAGGGTGCTTGGCTGGGTTGCAGCAGGAAGTAGAATGGGATGAGGAGATCATGGTTGTCAGAGTGGAAGGGACCCACCCTTTGAAGCAGGGATCGGGTTAGAAACCTGTTCCAGCTCAAGAATTTGTTTTCTGGTCAGGAAGTCCTGTGGGCCTGCTTTAGCATGAAAGAAGCCCTAATGAACTGAGCCAAGAGAGTAGGACCTCACATCTCTACAGCAAACAGTAATAGGTGACGCAAAAGAGACCAGTAACTAGGACTCTGGGCTCCTGGGTTATGGGCAGAAGACAAATGGAGTGTTACTGAGTATGCAGTAGGCACTCAACAATGCACATTGAAGGAACAGGGGAAGAGAGATCCAGAAGACATAATGAAGAGAGATAATGAAAACATGTTTGGGGTCTCTGGGGCATGAGAACTGAGGGTGTGGGAGAGTATTGAATACGCCCCCTGTCAGACTCATAGCAGGAGAAGGAAGGTAGGGTCTCCTTCTGACCCTCAACCATAGGAGCTCCCCTCTGTTTTGTTTTTGTTTTCAGACGGCTGTATAGGAGCCTTTCCACCCTGAGATCCTTCTGATGTGCCTTAGCATCAGTTCCAAGGAAGCGTCTCTCAGGAGAGTACACACCTTAGGGAGAGACACAGTGCCATATCGGGACACAGTCTGATGGGAGGAGGGAGATCAACAGTCCAAGTCCTGGAGGAGGCTTGAATTTGGTCTGGACACTTGGATATGGCCAGCAGAGGGGAAACAGTCAGCTAAAAGAGCGTGACTGAAGAGACCCAAATGAGCAGAGGGTTTGGGGAGGTCTGAGATGGCATCTGTGACCAGGCTGATGGGGTTCCAATATACAGTCTGTATTTTCTGTCATAGTCCATTGGTGTTGCTATAAAGGAATCCCTGACTGTGGGTGACATAGAGAAAAGAGGCTTATTTGCCTCACGGTTCTGCAGGCTGTATGAGAAGCATGGCACCAACGTCTGCACTGGTGAGGGCTTCAAAAAGCTTCCACTTGTGGCCGAAGGAGAAGGGGAGCCGGTTTGCACAGATCATATAGCGAGAGAGAGGAAGCTGGAAAGAAGGAATGGAGGAGGTGACAGGATCTTTTCAACAACCAGTTCTTGTGGGAACTAAGAGTGAGAACTCACTGGTTGAGAATGGCACCGAGCTGTTCATGAGGGATCTGTTTCAACCACCCAAACTCCTCCCACCAGGCTCCACCTCCAACATTGGGAATCAAATTTCAACATGAGACTTGGCAGGGTTTAATAACCACATCCAAACCATTGCAATGACCAAAGTGAGTTGTCTGCATTTCCCCCATCAATGACGAGAAGCTTCCTGGAAGACACAGTCTCTCAGATAGTTTATTTGTAGGCGAACGAGCTTTCCTGACATGCAAGTTCTGTTAGAAGGAAGCTGGCAAGCAGGAGGTGGCTGAAGACATGAAGGAGCTCTGAATGAGTGAGCTGGAGAAACAGAAAGGGTCAGCGGTGTGCTGGGAAAGGCTCAGAAGTGAGTCTGCCTAGTGGCTGTGATGGGAAGTTCCAGAGGGTCAGGTATGCGGGAACGCTCAGTGACAGGTTGGGTCCTGGACTCCCAGCAATTCTTCTGATGTGCCAGTATTCTGCAGCTGAAAAGCCAATAGCACTCTAAGAATTTTCTTCTTCCAGAATTATTTAGAAACTGAGATCCTGGATTCAAGTCCAAATTTCACCTTTTAGAGGGTACTCTGAAAATTGTAGCGCGCATACTTATCAGAGCCTAATGTAATTAATATCTTTACTCGCTATCAAAATAACACAAAGACCTCAGAACATTTTAATTCGTATTACCCATCTCCCAAATCATACCCTAATATCATCAAGTATTTTAATTCCATCTTGTTTTTTAACTTCATGAAAGATTATTGTAAAAAAAAAATTATTGTTGTCTGCTTACACACCCTCAGCCTGAACGCAGTCACACAGCCATGTTAAGCTGCAAGAGAAACTGAGAAAGACTGTCTCTAGCTGGGTAGACGTGTGCTCAGCTGACACTTGAGAGATCTGTTGCTAAAGGTGGAGAATGGGTGTTAGCAGACAACCATAAAGCCGTGACATGATCCAGCAACCCCACTGCTGAGGAGGTAGCCAAAAGAAAAGAAATCAGTGTATCAAAGAAATATCCGCACTCCAACGTTTGTTGCAGCACTGTTTGCAATAGCTAAGATTTGGAAGTGTCTATTAATGGATGAATGAATAAAGAAAGTGTGGTACAGGCCGGGCGCAGTGGCTCACACCTATAATCCCAGCACTTTGGGAGGCCGAAGTGGGTGGATCATAAGCTCAGGAATGCAAGACCAGCCTGGCCAACATGGCAAAATCCCATCTCCACTAAAAATACAAAAATTAGCCCAGTGTGGTGACGGGCGCCTGTAATCCCAGCTACTCGAGAAGCTGAGGTAGGAGAATTGCTTGAACCTGGGAGACGGAGGTTGCAGTGAGCCAAGATTGTGCCATTGCACTCCAGCCTGGGCGACAGAGTGAGACTCCATCTCAAAAAAAAAAAAAAAAAAAAAAAAAAAAAAAAAGAGCCAGGCACGGTCATGCCTGTAATCCCAGCACTTTGGGAAGCACAGGTGGGCAGATCATGATGTCAGGAGTTCGAGACCAGCCTGGCCAGCATGGTGAAACCCCATCTCCACTAAAAATACAAAAATTAGCCGGGCGTGGTGGCAGGCATCTGTAATCCCAGCTACTCGGGAGGCTGAGGCAGAAGAATTGCTTGAACCTGGGAGGCAGCGGTTGCAGTGAACCCAGATCGAGCCACTGCCCACACTCCAGCCTGGATGACAGAGCAAGTCTCCATCTCGGAAAAAAAAAAAAAAAAAAAAAAGAAAAGAAAAGAAAACGTGGTACATATACATAGTGGAGCATCATTCAGCCATAAAGAAAGAATGAGATCCAGTCATTTGCAACAACATCGCTGGACATGGAGATCATTATGTTAAGTGAAAAACCCGGCACAGAAAGACAAACATTGCATGTTCTCATTTATTTGTGGGATCTAAAAATCAAAAACAACTGAACTCATGGACATAGAGTCTAGAAGAATGGTTACCAGAGGCTGGGAAAGGTAGTGGGGAGGACTGGGGGAGGTAGAGATGGTTAATGAATGAATTAATTAAATGAATTAAATTAATTTAAAAAAACAAATGAATTAAAAAGAATGAATAAGACCTACTCTTTGATAGCACAACAGGGTAACTATAGTGAATAATAACTTAATTGTATATATTAAAATAACATAAAGAGTGTAATTGGATTTTTTGTAACTCAAAGGATAAATGCTTGAGGGGATAGATACCCCATTCTCCACGATGTGCTGATTTCACATTGCATACCTGTATCAAAACATCTCATGTACCCCATAAATATATACACCTACTATGTACCACAAAAAGTAAAAATAAAAAAAATTAAAAATAAAGCCAGGACGTACATTTAAACCTACTTACCTTATATTCTGTATTTAATAATTTCAATACCTAAAGTCTTTGAGGATCTGATACTGCTGTCTAGCTTTTTGGTTTTGTTTTCTTCCTTGCTGGTTTTCACTCAGGGTGTCTGTTTTCACTTATGATTTGAGAATCATGACTATAAATTTATTTTTCTTGGAATGTTATCTGTCGAGATCAAGGCTGCAGTGGCACTAGCATAACTCACTGCAGCCTTGACCTTCTGGGCTCAGGCAATCCTACTGCCTCGGCCTCCCAAATTTCTGGAATTACAGATTAAGCTACGATCTTTCACAGAGAATTTGCATGTTTTTTCCAAGCATATGGAGACATTACCATTTGAGGATTATTTTATTATTATATTTTTAATTAAAATATTTTATTAACATTGTTACTGTATATACTTATGGGGTACAATTTAATGTTTTAATACATATATATGCTGTATAATTTGAGGATTATTTTAAGTTAAACTATAGGATTGCGGTCTTTTGAATTACCTAGACTGCATGATTTGTGGCTACAAACCATGTAAGTAAGGTATTGTTGGTTGTTGTGGTTACAATTTATTTCTCAAGGGATACTCCCTCTACCCTCCTCTGCACCAAATTTAGAGACAGGCAATTTTGCTTACATTTCCTTAGAGGAGGGGCAGGTTTATTTTTAGTTTACATTCTCACTGAAAGTTACAGATTTATGTGATTCCTCCCCACCCATGACCTTGGGCTGATCCAGCTGAAGCTGTAATACCCGAAGCTTAAGTTCTTTGGGTTTTGCAAAAGTTGGCTTCAGTACTTCCCTTACCTCCTGGGTCCTATTTAGTCTTTAATTTTAGCATTCCATACTTTCATGCCAATTCACTGACTCTTTTAAGAAGATTTTGAAGTCCATAACTTAGCTTTACAGTGTATTTTCAGTCAGGGCACGTAGTCCATTATATAGCAAGAAGTTTAAGTTGTCATTGGATTGTTTTGAGAAATAAATGGTGATGTATTTACAGGCACTAGCATAGTGTTTGGCACTTAATAAGCATGCAATAATAAAGGACAAAGGGAAAATAAAAAAGACAAACATAAATACATAAATACATAGATGCCAGGTGTATTTTGAGATTTTAATTTGTAGCACTGTCCCAGTAAATTTCTTCTAACTTATCACATAGCATTTGAAAGAGGCAAAGAAGTAGGGAGGGAGACTCTTCCCAAAGATGAAGAACTGGAGGGCACTGAGTGAGTCTAACAGGATTTTCTGATCTACTCAGTTTGTAGAGTTTGAAGTTACAAATCCAAATAAAGAAAGTTGTGTAATTACAAATTCTCAGGGGAAATTTTTTACCCCCTCCATTATTATAAACTGTGATAATCTTATTCTTCCTCCTACTGGTCAGGTTCCATCCTGAGGAAACGATAGAAAGCCAAAGCCTAAAGAGTTCTGACTTGTGTGTTGAGAGATCAAAGAGAAATTGTTCTGAGCTTGATCATCGTGACCCCTCCTCCCCACAAGAGTTGGAACCATGGTTATGCTCAGGGGATATTTTCACTTGAGCTCACACCCAAAGCTGGTGAGGCTGCAGGTCTCCTCCAGAACCACTCCCTATTTTTCTGACTGTCCCGTTGGCCAAACCCTCTGTGCTCTTTTCTCTGGTTCTTTTCTTGATTTTGATCATGACCATCTCTATGGCCAATTCCTTGGAGACCTCAGAGAAGCCCATCCTGACCCATTTTATGGTCACTACCTTCTCCTCCATGATCCCCCTTCTTCCCCAAGATTTTCTTTTCCATAGCACCTTCCATTATCCAGTCTATGTCTATACTCTCCTTTGCCTTGGCGACCTTCTCTGTGA
The DNA here is from genome assembly GCF_000001405.40 of Homo sapiens. NCBI lineage: Eukaryota > Metazoa > Chordata > Mammalia > Primates > Hominidae > Homo > Homo sapiens. Next base: position 2,288,443 of record NT_167246.2, on the reverse strand, counting down.
TGCATTTCATGATTATTGCTGTAGCCTCCTCCAAGTCCATAACGCCCACCATGATTCACTCCACAGCCATCTCCATGGCTGTGGCTCAGCTCATGGCCCACTCCATGTCCAAAGCCATGTGTTCCTGTGTGTCCCATCTCAAGTCCCCCTCCATGAATGAGTGCATTTCCCAGGCTGTGGAATGTCCCAGAGCCCAGGACTGAGTCCAGGTATAAACCAAGGTCAAGGCTGTTGTCATGGAGGTTATAAATGCCTCTATTTGTCAGGGTAAAGAAAGATCCTTCTAAAAGAGAAAAATATATATATTAGTAGTTAACTCCTTTTCTTTCTTATCATTAAACCTTCTTGGATTATCAAAATTCATAAATTTTCACTTTTCAATATTGTCTATTTTCTCATCAAGTCTTCCTGTGTGTGTGTGTGTGGATGATATTTAGGACTCTCTTCCTCTTATTTATTTATTTATTGGAGAAAACAGTCTTCCTAATTAGTATACTTGTACCTTGGTAGGGATCTATGCTGCTCAACTTTCAAGACAAGATAAGTCTGGGCATGGTGGCTCGTGCCTGTAATCCCAAAACTTTTGGAGGCTGAGGTAGGTGGATTGCTTGAGCCCAGGCATTCCAGAGACCAGCCTGGGCAACATGGTGAAACCCCATCTCTACAAAAATAAAAAAAACAAGACAAGGTAAATTTGCATCCTGTACCTGGGAACAGAGTCAGCTAAGAGTAGGGAATCTTTTATTGTGTAAATCAACCAAAAAGGTTGCATGTCTATGAGGTCAGGTAAAAATAAATAAAAGTTCATAAGGCCAGGTACAGTGGCTCATGCCAGTAATCCTAGTACTTTGGGAGGCCAAGGCGAGAGGATCACTTGAACCCAGCTCTATCTCTGGGTAGACAGAAGCTGCAGTGAGCCAAGACGGCACCACTGGACTCCAGCCTGGGTGACAGAGTGAGACCCCATCCAAAAATTAAAATGAAAATTTTTTTTTAAAGTTCATAAAATGGAAGCTAGAATAGTGCTTACCTTTGATGGAGTGGGTATTATCTGGGAAGGGCCACAAAATAAACTACTCAGATGGTAGAAATATTCTACATTTTAAGTTGGGTAATGGTTGTACAAGTGTTAACACATTTTGAAATTAATCAAGCTGTACAAATAATATTTGTGTACTTTTGTAAATTATAGTTCAAAATTTTTTCATCTGTGAACAGTATTTATTTTTTTCAATTAATATTGTTCTTTTTATTTTTTTTTATTTCTTGAGACAGAGTCTTGCTCTGCTACCCAGGCTGGAGTGCAGTAGCACGATCTCGGCTCACTGCAACCTCTGCCTCCCAGGTTCAAGCAATTCTCCTGCCTCATCCTCCAGAATAGCTGGGATTACATGCATAAGCCACCATACCCGACTAATTTTTGTATTTTTAGTAGAGACAGGGTTTCCCCATGTTGGCCAGGCTGGTCTTGAACTCCTTACCTCAGATGATCCATCCGCCTCAGCCTCCCAAAGTGTTGAGGTTACAGAACTGCGCCCGGCTGTTCTTTTTATTTTTAAGTGTAATTTAACTTTTAACCTTTCTCCCAACTGTATTAAGTTGATACGTGAAACATATATTTGGACTTCTGCACATTTCCTGGCATGCAGCTCCTAAAATCCTTAGGTACTGAAGTGATTTTTTTTTTTTGTATGCGAATGAGTCAACTGTTGGCTACAGGATGGGGGCTAATCACCGGAAAGACCAAAGCACCACCCTTTAACCCTTAACCTCCAGGGAGGAGAGGGGACTGAAGGTTAAGTTGATTACCAGTGGCCAAGGTTTAATCAGGTATACCTACATAATGAAGCCTCTGTAAAAACCCCAAAGGCCAGGGCTCAGAAAACATATGGAGGTTCCTGGAGGATGGGGTGCTGGGGAGGGCATGGAAGCTCCCTGCTCCTTCTCCCTCCACGCCTCTTCACCTGTATCCTTTGTAATATCCTTTGTAATAAACCAGTAAAGGTGTTTCCCTGAGTTCAGTCAGCCACTCCTGCAAATTAATCGAAACCAAACAGGAGTAGCCAACTCCAACTTGCTCCAGTTGGTCAGAAGTTCCAGAGGCCTGGACTTGGCAGCCTGTGGGAAGGAGCGGTTGGTGTTGAGGGACTGCGCGCTTAGTCTGTGGATCTGATGCTATCTCCAGGTAGGCAGTGCCAGCACTGAATCGGAGGACACCGAGCTGGTGTCTGCTGCAGAACTGATTGCTTGCTTAGTGTGGGAAGAACTTCCCCTCTTAATTTGGTCACCAGAAGTGTTTTGTGTTGGTGGTGGTGTGAGAGCAGAGGAAACACAGTTTGTGTTTTTCCCACTTTCAAAGCTGGTGAATAAATATTGCATATACTTATGGTGTACAATGTGATGTTTTGATATATGTATACATTTTGAAATTATTAAATCAAATTAACATACCTATTGCCTTGCATACTTATCATTTTTTATTGGTAAGAATTACACCTCAATTTTTAAAGATAAAGAAAAATAAGAGACAGGCCATAAAGAGCTAAAGGTTGGAGAACTATCTAAAAAACACTGTGGGCCAGGTGCGGTGGTTCACGCCTGTAATCCCAGCACTTTGGGAGGCCGATGTGGACAGATGATGAGGTCAGGAGTTCGAGAGCAGCCTGGCCAACATGGTGACACCCCATCTCTACTAAAAATACAAAAAATTAGCCGGGCATGGTGGCACATGCCTGTAATCCCAGCTACTCAGGAGGCTGAGGCAGGAGAATTGCTTGAACCCGGGAGGTGGAGGTTGCAGTGAGCCGAGATTGTGCCATTGCACTCCAGCCTGGGCAACAGGGCGAGGCTTCGGCTCAAAAAAACAAACAAACACTCTGGCTAAGAACACAGGCTCTGCTGTCAAGTGGACCAGAATTAGAGCCTAGCTCTGCGTGGCCTTGTCCTGTGGTCTTCAGCAAGTTACTTATGTCTCTGCTTCCAGTTTTCTAGTCTATAAAATGGGATAATAGGAGTACACATCCCCAAGGGTGGTTGAGCAGAGCAAAGGAGAGATGATGCTCTCTAAGCACTCTGGGCCCTGGACCTCATACCTAGTAGATAGCTAATAAAATGCTAGTTAACTAATATTACATCTTTATCTTAAACATTTAGGGGGTTGCTCATGGCTGGTGAGTCACATATTGTTCTTCCCTTAGGGAGGGGTCAGAGACTCTGAAATAAGAAACTCAGGTAAGTTGATTGTAAATTATGTTAACTGTTTGTGGCTTGTGTGAATTTCTCATTTATGTATTGTGTACTCACTCTGGCTCCTCCTACAAATTTACAAGACTGCATACAGGAATACATAAAGCCAAAATGGGAAAATACAAATGTTCTATTTCTTAAAATAGAACAAGAGAAATACATTTGAATAGAAGATTAAGACCAGGATGGACAATAGAACACAGTCTGCTGCTGGCCAGTGGCTGTCACATTGGCACCAAGAACTGCGGAGGGCTGGGGCCTCTGGAACGTCAAACCCTCCCCTACACCAGGGGGAGTGTTTCTACAGCCTCCATTCTCCAGAAGGGCATTTCTTTGTCAACTTCCCTTAGTGTTTCGTGAAGAGTTTTGAAATCTCTAGCCTATTTGAGTTGTGCTAAGAGGTACCTGGAAAAGTGAATTTGTTTTCACTTGGGTAAAATCATAAAGGCATGAGGTGGGACGTGCCCCACTCTCACCCTGGAAGGAGCTTATGATTTTGTCTGTCTTGAAAGTGAAAAACCTGTTGAGGACCTAAATGTTCATCACTTTCCAAAGATGTTTTTTCTAGTGTTACATTCCCAGCTATTTTATAAGACACATTTTCCATCATATTCTCAATGCTCTCCTATTCATACCCAGACACTTTCCTCTCACTTGGGGCCCCCTTCCTCTTTTTTTTTTTGAGATGGAGTTTCACTCTTATAGCCCAGGCTGGAGTGCAGTGGCGCGATCTCGGCTCACTGCAACCTCTGTCTCCCGGGTTCAAGAAGTTCTCCTGCCTCAGCCTCCCGAGTAGTTGGGATTACAGGTGCCTACCACCACACCGGCTAATTTTTGTATTTTTAGTAGAGATGGAGTTTCACCATTTTGGTCGGGCTTCTCTCGAACTCCTGACCTCAGGTGATCCTCCTGCCTTGGCTTCCCAAAGTGCTGGGATTACAGGTGTGAGCCACCACGCCCGGCCTCTTCCTCTTCTTCTTCTTCTTTTTTTCTTCCTGCTATATCTATCGTTTATATTTTCTGTCTTTCTCCTTCTCCCTGGTCTTTATACTACGCTATGTGAGACAGTAAAAATCAGACTGCGAAAGCAGCAGTCGGCCACTGTCCATCAGGAGGTAGATGCATAACAGCATAGGTGGCCAGCTGTGAGGGGCACTGAGAGGAATATTTTTCCCCAGGGCGCACTGCAGCTGTGAAGTATCACAGCCCTTACTCACTTCCAGTGACCTACTCACTTGCAGTGATTTAGCCAATGAAAAATTTCATTCTCTAAAATCGCAGACTATTACAAATTTGCTGTTTGATTCTAAATCAGTGAGAAGGAAATATCCCATTCTTGTCTGGAAACTCTAAGTGACTTTGACACAGAGAAGCAGCCTCCAATTCCAACTGGGGTACAGATAAGGGGTTTCTCTGAATACAACATTCCACGTTCATTTTAACTGTAGTTTCCAAGGAAATAATCTATTTCACAGTTTCAAGCTGCCGGTGACCCCTTTACAAACAGCCCTGCTTTCTTTTGAGCCTTTTAAAATTCTTTCATTTAAATTTCACCAAAAATCCACACTTTCCTCCAATACTATAATGACATTTCCCCCAATACTATAATGACATTTCCCCCAATACTGTAATGACATTTCCGTTGTTTGGTGAGAAGCTCCTCAGCTCCCTGGTATACAGCCTCCCATTTTGCAACTAACTGATAAATCTGACTTCATGGGACTATACATTTGCTCCTGCACTCTTGGTCGATTGGACTAGGGTACAAGTGACTCTCCAGACCCCTCTCCATGCTAATAGCCTAGTGGCCCTTCTTCCGTCAATTCTAATCCTCCTCGTGATCTATCTTCTCAGGAAAGCTCTGCCCATTTCCATGCTCAGTCACTCACAAGGCAAAACCTCAGTCCTACTGACAATCCAACACCAACCATGACTACAGCCAGGGAAATGAGCATGATGGCCTGGGGCTGTAAATGTCCACTCAGTTTGATCACATGTTTGGATGTGTGGCTCACGCTAACTGTATTTGTGCCCGTGGACACTGGGACTGTTTACTGGGAGGTGTTGCTGGTTGGCTCACGGGTGGATCCTGTAGTGGTCCTGAAGCTGGGGGCTGAGGTGGTAGATGATGCTCCCATAGTGGATGTACCCAGGTCAGAGGTGTTTGAGACTATTCCGGTCACAGGATGGCTGCAGCAGAGGCCATGGAGTCCATTCCAGGGGCCATGGTGACAGAGCTAGGGGCGGTAGGACTGGTTCCAGGGGTCACACAACATGATGCATTCATAGCAGAGATAATTAAAGGGGAGTGGGAGCGCTTAGAGCAGAGCGGGGTGAATCTAACATGTCTATGGTGAGAGTAGCTCAGGAGAGGGGTGGTGGGGGAGGAGAGATGGTAGAAAGCCATTCCTCTGTGGCCGTGTCCTCACAATAGAGGTGGGTGTTGTACAGAGGAGGAGGTAGAATGTGTCACCTGGTGGAGTTGGTGATGGAGGAGGCAGAAGGTTGAGGAAACGTGACCGTGATGGGTATGGAAGTGGAAGATCTATTTGACTTCGGAAGTGGCCACCCAAATAGAAGAGGGCGGGCTTGTATACAAAGTGGCAGGCCCTGCTTCTTTTGTGACTGTGATCACTGGGTGTAAGGAGGGAGCTGGAGGAGGAGATGACAGAATTGGATTCATTCATGGGCATGCCAGTGGCCGTGGCTGGGACAGAGGTGACATCATCTACCACACTGTGGTGGTCAGCAAAGGTGGGGTGAGTGTGCTTGGGCAGATGTGGGAGGACCTGACCCAAGTGGAGAAGGCTGCTCACAGGGACAGGAGAGGGTGGGCTCAGACAGGTGCGAGTGAGAATCAACACAGCAGAGGCAGTGGTGGTGGCTTTGATAGCAATGGGTGTGCCTAGGTCAGAAGTGGTGAAAATAGGATCCCAAACAGCACCAGTCACCAGAATAGAGGTGAGGGTGCTCAGAACGAAGAGGATAGAATCAGATGCAACCGGCTTGCTGATGGAAAGTGCCAGAGAATGAACATAATTGTTTGGTCTTAGACTGGAGCAAGGTGATATGATTTGGATTTGTGTCCCTGCCCAAATCTCATGTCAAATTGTAATCTCCAATGTTGGAAGAGGGGTGTATTAGTCAGGGTTCTCTACAGCGACAGAACTGATGGAATATATATAAAGCGGAGTTTATTAAATATTAACTCACATGATCACAAGGCCCCACAATAGGCCTTCTGCAGGCTGAGGAGAAAGGAGAGCCAGTCCGAGTTCCAAAACTGAGGAAGCATCCAGCACGGGAGGAAGATGTAGGCTGGGAGGCTGGGCCAGTCTCTCTTTTCACATTTTTCTGCCTGCTTAAATTCTAGCCACTCTGGCAGCTGATTAGATTGTGCCACCCAGATTAAGGGTGGGTCTGCCTTTCTGAGGCCACTGACTCAAATGTTCATCTCCTTTGGTAACACCCTCGCAGACACACCCACGATCAATACTTTGTGTCCTTCAATCCAATCAGGTTGACACTCAGTATTAACCATCATAAGTCCACCCCTTGTCAACTTGAACCCATGCGCATCTCCTGAGATTATACATAATCTTCAAATAAAGACAATAATAAGGTCATAATTATGCCCAACATAATACAACTATCCTTCATACAACCGGAAACGCACCAATCCCCAGCCCATATGCTATTACGCAAAGTTAATAATACTTAAATGCTGATGTGAAGTCAATAAATCTTACATCACATAATAAAGGAGAAAGGAAATAAAATGAAGATATTTTCTTAGTACAAGTGTATACATGTACAAACGTGTTTTTAACAAAAGAAGGAGGAAATACTCATGACAATTACAGTGCTCTTTCTGCAGCTGGTCACGCAGTCATAGTTGGTATTGATGGCTACCTTCTTCTGCTACCCATTCTGTATTCCCTTTCCCTTTAGCAAGCATCTCAGCAGGTCATGGTTTTTTCCTGGTGGAGTGACCCAAACTTTCATTTCTGAAGGGTCTGGGTCATTTGTAGTCCTGCCTGGATTGGGCTGTTGTAGTTTCCCACTGACCTTAATCACAGGGCATGGTAATGCTAAGAGACGCCCTAATGGATCTCAAGTATTCCATGCATACTTTTCCTTACCTCCGTTGTGGAGTAGTAGACTGACTTCATCAGGATAGTCTAGGTCAGTCACAGCAGCCAACACTGTAACTCCCTTCTAAGCCTGTTAACGTAAAGGTAGAAGGAGCCCAAAGTGTCCAGGTGGCAATTTTAACTTCCAGTTTAATGGCATTGTTGTTGTGTCTCCTGGTGGCAGCGTTCCTCCCTCTGGAGCTAAGACCTCTAGGCCAGCAGAATGTAATGTCACAGGAACAGGAAGCAAAAATTTTGCTAGTGGATCACTAGGGGTGATGGTGAGTGGTGCCACTTCCACTTCCATCCCTTGCTTCCTGGACCCAGAAATGCTGGCTATGGGAGAAACAGTACCATACATTGGACACTGATTCAGAGCATACACAGCCTTCTAGAGAATTTTGCCCCAGCCCTGCAAAGTATTGTCACCTAGTTGATGTCGTAATTGTGACTTCAAAAGGCCATTCCACCGTTCTATCAATCCAGCTGCTTTAGGATAATGGGGAACATAAGACCAGTAAATTCCATGAGCATGAGCCCACTGCCACCCTTCTTTAGCTGTAAAGTGAATGCCTTGGCCAGAGGTAATGCTGTGTGGAACCATGATGGTGGATAAGGCATTCTGTGACTTCACGATGGTAGTCTTGGCAGAAGCATTGCATGCAGGATAGGCAAACCCATATCAGGAGTAAGTGTCTATTCCAGTGAGGACAAACCTCTGCCCTTTGCATGATGAAAGAAGTCCAGCCAGTAATCCAGTAATCAGCTGGCTGATCATCCTGAGGAATGGTGCTATACTGAGGGCTCAGTGTTGGTCTCTGCTGCTGGCAAATTGGGCATTCAGCAGTGGCCATAGCCAGGTCAGCCTTGGTGAATGGAAGTCCATGTTGCTGAGCCCATTCATAACCTCCATCCCTGACACCACGGCCACTTTGCTCATGGGCCCATTGGGTGATGACAGGGTTGGCTGGGGAAAGAGGCTGAATGGTATCCACAGAACGGGTCATCGTATCCACTTGATTATTAAAATCCTCCTCTGCTGAGGTCATCTGTTGGTGAGCACTCACATGAGATACAAATATCTTCACAGTTTTTGACCACTCAGAGAGGTCCATCCACATAACTCTTTCCCACATTTCTTTGTCACCAATTTTCCAATCGTGCTTCTTCCAAGTCCCTGACCATCCAGCCAAACCCCCTACTGATTATGCATCAGTAAATAATCACACATCTGACCGTTCTCCTTCCATGCAAAGTGCAGAACCAAGTGCACTGCTTGAAGTTCTGCCCACTGAGAATATTTCCCTCCACCGCTGTCCTTCAGGGATGTCCTAGAGAGGGGCTGTAGTGCTGCAACTGTTCACTTTCGGTTAGTGCTCCATATTGTGCAGAACCATCTGTGAACCAGGCCCTAGTCTTCTCTTCCTCTGTCAACTGATCATAGGGAACTCCCCATGAGGTCATCGGTACAAGCTGGGGAAGAGAAAGCAGGGTGGCAGGAGTGGAGACCATGGGCATTTGAGCCACTTCCTCATGTAACTTACTTGTGCCTTCAGGAACTGCTTGAGCCCGATCATGTGTATATCACTTATATTTGATGATGGAATGCTGCCGCACACCGACCCATTTTATAGCTAGATGGATCAGAAAGCACCCAGTTCATGATAGGTAGTTCAGGTCACATGGTGACTTGATGACTGATAGTCAAATGTTCAGTTTCCACCAAAGCTCAGTAATAGGCCAAGAGCTGTCTCTCAAAAGGAGAGTAGTTATCTGCAGAAGATGGCAAGGACTTGTTCCAAAATCCTAGAGGCCTCTGCTGTGATTCACTTATGTGGGCCTGCCGAAGGCTCCAAACAGCATCCCTATCTGCCACTGACACCTCAAGCACCATTGGATCTGCTGGGTCATATGGCCCAAGTGGCAGAGCAGCTTGCATAGCAGCCTGGACGTGTTGCAGAGCCTTCTCCTGTTCTGGATCCCACTCAAAACTGTCAGCCTTTCGGGTGACTCAATAAATGAGCTGGAGTAACACACTCAAATGTGGAATGTGTTGCTTCCAAAATCCAAGTAAGCCCACTAGGCGTTGTGCTTCTTTCTTGGTTGTAGGAGGGGCCAAATGTAGCAACTTCTTCACCTTAGAAGGGATATCTTGACAGGCCCCACACCACTGGACCCCTAGAAATTTTACTGAGGTAGAAGCTCCCTGAATTTTAGTCAGATTTATTTCCCATCCTCTGGCACACAAATATCTCACCAATAAGTCCAGTGTGTTTGCTACTTCTTGCTCACTGGACCCAATCAGCATAATATCATCAATGTAATGGACCAGTATGATATCTTGCAGAAGCAAAAAGTGATCAAGTTCTCTCTGAATAAGATTATGACACAAAGCCGGAGAGTTGATATACCCCTGAGACAGGACAGTAAAGCTGTATTGCTGGCCTTGCCAGCGGAAGGCAAATTACTTCTGGTGGGCCTATGGACAGGAATGGAGAAAAAGGCATTTGCCAAGTCAATGGCTGCATACTAGGTACCAGGAGATGAGTTAATTTGCTCAAGCAATGAAACAACATGGGGTACAGCAACTGTAATTGGAGTCACCACTTGGTTAGGCTTACGATAATCCACTGTCCTTCTCCAAGATTCATCTGTCTTCTGCACAGGCCAAATGGGAGAACTGAATGGGGATATGGTGGGAATCACCACCCCTGTGTCTTTCAAGTCCTTGATGGTGGCACTAATCTCCGCAGTCCCTCCTGGGATGTGATTTTTTTTTTTATTTACTATTTTTCTAGGTAGAGGCAGCTCTAATGGCTTCCATTCAGCCTTTTCCACCATAGTAACCCTCACCCTACCAGTCATGGAGCCAATGCAGGGGTTCTGCCAGCTGCTAAGTATATGCCAATTATGCATTCTGGCACTGAGGAAATGATCACAGGATGAGTCCAGGGACCCACGGGACCCACTATAAGTCAGACCTGGGCTAAAACTCCATTAATTACCTGACTTCTATAAACGCCTACTTTTTTTTTTTTTTTTTTTTTTGAGACGGAGTCTCACTCTGTTGCTCAGGCTGGAGTGCAGTGGCAGATCTTGGCTCACCACAACCTCCACTTCCCAGGTTCAAGCTATTCTCCTGCCTCAGCCTCCCAAGTAGCTGGGACTACAGGCGTGCACCACCATACGCGGCTAATTTTTGTATTTTTAGTAGAGAGGGTTTCACTATTTTGGCCAGGCTGGTCTCGAACTCCTGACCTCGTGATCCACCTGCCTTGGCCTTCCAAAATGCTGGGATTACAGGCATGAACCACCACTCCCGGACTCATAAGCCCATACTTTAACTGGAGGGCCACAATGACATTTTGGGTCTCCTGGAATCAATGCCAGCTCAGAGCCAGTGTCCAGTAGTCCCCAAAATGTCTAATCATTTCCCTTTCCCCAATACACAGTTACCCTGGTAAAAGGCCAGAGGTCTTGGGGAAGGATGGGAGAAAGATTCACTGCACAAATTGTTGGTAATGTAGTGGGGTCCTTCCTCAAGGGGACCCGGCCTCCCGTTCATTCAAGGGGATCTGGGTCTGTGAACTGGCTCAAGTCTGGAAATTGGTTGAGGGGCCGTGATTCTGTTTTTATAATTCAAATTAGTCTTTTGTCCATTCAGCCTAGAAGTTCTCTGCTTGTATAAATTAAATAGGAATGCAATAGGCTTCCTATCAATTTCACTTCTAGGAACACTGTGATTAATTAGCCAATGCCAGAGCTCTGCATGAGTTGGACTATTCTGATTGCCACTTTGCCTCTGCTGTCCATTATGGTACCTACACCCACATTGCCTTCGATGTTTGAGTGCTACCACTTGGCCCCTGCCACCTCTGGATCCAATTATTCCCATTGTATTTAAATTTTGCAGTTGACTGACGGCGGTTCCCACTGTTAGATCTGACATACAGAGAAGAGCAATTATAGGGCTCTTCAGATATGCAGGTGCTGCCCTCACAAATGTATTTTGCAAAGCATCATCAAGGGTATATCTTCTGCACCCTCCCAGCTGGGATGAGTAGGTCTAAATTGACTAATCCACTCCACCATCCCAATCTCCCTAAGCCTTTGGATCCCTTCATTTACATTAAACCAAGGGAGATCAGCTTGCTCACAGCGGGCCATCTTTTAATCCATATTTTAGCTAACTAAGCAAATAAACTATTAGAACCCTTTTTAACTCCCCAAGCTGCAACATTAAATGCAGAGTCCCTATTTAGTGGGGCCAAATCAATAAATTCAGCCTGACCTAACTCTATGTTCCTTCCACCATTATCCCACACCCTTCATATCCATTCTAATGCCTGTTCTCCAGATTTCTGTTTATATAAATTAGAAAATTCAAGCAGTTCTTTTCGAGTGTAGTACATCTCCTCATGGGTCACACTCTCAACCTCGCCTCTAGGGGCCCTCCAGGAAATGATACCTAACAGTGTACAGGCTTGACTTGAGACAGGGCAGAGATGATAGAAACAGGTGAAGAGCTAGTGGTTGCCATTGGAATTAAAATGTGTGTGATCAGAGAAGACATGGGGGTTAGTACCTGACACAACTGTTTTGGTGATGGTCTGAGTAGAAATGTCAGTGACCTTGGTGGGCACGAAAGTGGCAGAGACAGTGGTGGAGGTTGCAGTGGCCCCAGAGGCTGTGGTAGAGGCCAAGAAGGGCGATGAGGCCAAAGCGAAGGCTGTGGAGGTCACAGATGCTGCTGTGGATGGCATGGTGGCCTCAGAGCCTGTGGTGGAAGCCATGCTGCTTCCAGACCCTGAAGTGACCTCAGAGGCTGTGCTCACAGCCATGTTGCTCGTGGATATTGCAGTGGAGGCTGTGGTGGTCTCAGAGTCTGTGGAGGAGGCGGTTGTGGGCATAGATACTATTATGGAGGCACTGGGGGTCTCAGAATCTGTGAGGGAAGCCGTGGAGGTTTCAGTGGCTGTAGTGGTCTCAGATCTTGTAGTGGAGGCTGTGGTGGTCTCAGAGCCCATCATGGATAAAAATCCTGCAGTGTTCTCAGAGGTTATTTTGGAGGTTGTTGTGGGCACAGATACTATTGTGGAGGTAGTGGGGGTCTCAGAGGTTGATGTGGCCTCAAAGGCCATAGTGGAGGCTAGGATGTGGTGGACACAAATATTTTGAAAGAGGATGTGGTGGACTCAGAGGCTGTGGAGAAGTCCTCAGTAGTTTCAGAGGCTGAGGTGGGAGCTACAGTAGGCACAGAGGTTATCATCCAGGCTGTGGGGATCTCGGAATCTTTGCTAGAGGCCAATGTAGTCACAGACTGCAGTGGTTCCTGAGGTTATGATGGAAGCCAGAGTGATCTCAGAGCCTGTGGTGGTTTCAGGCGCTTTGATAAAGACTGCAGTAGGCACAGATACTATCTTGGAGAGAGTGGTGCTCTTGGAGGCTATGGTAGAGTCCATGGTGGGCACAGACTTGGCCACGGAGTCTATAGTATTCTGATAGAGTGTGGTGGAGGCTGTGGTGGACACAGACGCTGTAGTGGTCTTAGCAGGCATTACGGTGGCTGTGGAGAACCCAGACTGTGTGGTTGTCACAGGAGCTTTGGTGGAGACCACAGCAGTCTCAGAACCTGTGGTCATGGCTGTGGTCATGGCTGTAGTCACTTCAGTGGCAGAGGTGGAAGCTCTGGTGGTCTCAGAGCCTGTGCTGCTTTCAGAGGCTGTAGCGAAGACTGTGGTGGGCACAGATGATACTGTGTGGTGTCCGGTGTTCTCAGAGCCTGTGGTAGAGGTTGTGGTGGGCACAGATGCTGTGGTGGTCTCAGCAGGTGTTGGAGGGGCTGTAGAGGGCGCAGACTCTACAGTTGTCCCAGAGGCTTTTGTGGAGATTGCAGTGGTCGCAGAGTCTGTGGTGGAGGCTGTGGGGATCTCAGAGCCTGCGGTGATTTTAGAGGTTGTGGTGAAGACTGTGGTGGGCAGAGATGTTATCGTAGAGGTCGTGGCGGTCTTGGAAGCTGTGGTCATGGTTTTAGAGGCTGTGTTGGGAGCTGTGGAAGGTGTAGATGTTATCACAGAGAGTGTGTTGTTCTTGGGGACTGTGGCGGACACAGATGCTGTGGTGGTGTCAGTAGGTGTTTTGGTGGCTGTGTGGGGCACAGACTCTGCAGCTATCACAGAGGTTTGAGTGGAGACTGTGGTGTCCTCGGAGGCTGTGATGGCAGCAATGGTAGTTTCAGACATGGTGGCCTCACAGGCTGTTGTGTTCTTAGAGCCTGAGGTGGAAGCTGTGGTGGGCACAGATGTTACTGTGGAAGATGTGGTGGTGTTAGAGACCGTGGTGAAGGCCAGGGTGGACTCAAGGGCCAGGATAGAGGCTGTCACTGGCTCAGACACTGCAGTGGAGAACCTGATGGTCTCATAAGCTGTGGAGGAGACTGGGATGGCTGCAGAGCTCATGGTGATCTCAGAGGCTGTGCTGGAGGCTGTGCTGGAGGCTGTGGCTGACACAGACATTGTAGAGGACGTGATGATCTCAGAGGCCGTGCTGCTCTCAGAGCCGGTGGTTGAGGCCACAGTGGCACAGATGCTGTGGTGGAGGGTGTGGTAACCTCAGAGGCTGCAACAATAGTTGTGGTGGCTTCTGAGCCTATGGAGGTCTCAGAGTCCATGGTGGAGATGGCGATGATCCCAGAGGTTGAGGTACTCTCAGAGCCTGTGGTTGAGGCCATTGTGGACACAGACTCCACCATGGTCTCAAAGGCTACAGTGGGCCCTGGGGGCATAGTCCTTCCTGAAAAATATCAATTTTTAGTCAAATACGACACCTACTTTACATTTTTGATATTTAATTAGGAGCATCGTGCATATGTCTTTCTTGTTTCCTTTACATCAGCAGAACTGCTGGTGTCGTTACCTTTTATTTGGAATCATGTATTTCAGAGGCTCAGCATTTGCAGTTTCCTCCGCAGCTAAGGGCCCGGTTGCTGATTCAGCTGTGCTTCTGTAGTGCATGAGTCATTTGATCGATCTTCTTGGCACCTTGTCCTTTCTGCCATAATGTTTTTTGGAACTGTACTTGCCTAGGTGAAATAAAATCTAACCTATGTTAAGGAGGCTCCACATTATCTCTGTGTGTGTTATAACACTAAGGATAGTTGGGTCTCATCAGATTAGGGGAAAGTGTGTTGTTTGAAAACCTCATCCAGGGCCAGGCACAGTGGCTCACGCCTGTAATCCCAACACTTTGGGAGGCCAAGGCGGGCAGATCACCTGAGGTTGGGAGTTCGAGACCAGCCTGACCAACATGGAGAAACCCCGTCTCTACTAAAAATACAAAATTAGCCAGGTGTGGTGGTGCATGCCTGTAATCCCAGCTACTCAGGATGCTGAGGGAAGAGAATTGCGTGAACCCAGGAGGCAGAGGTTGCAGTGAGCCGAGATCGTGCCATTGCACTCCAGCCTGGGCAACAAGAGCAAAACTCTGTCTCAAAAAAAAAAAAAAAGAAAGAAAGAAAGAAAACTTCATCCAGGTCATCTGGACTGATCAGAAGAATCCCCTTGTCTGGGTGGAAGTGACAAGGAGGTCATAGGAGGGCAGCTTGAGCAGAGACACTCTGGTGCAAGTCCCCCATCACTCTTTGGGACGTTCAGCACACGATCCCTGCCTGAAGGGAGCCTGCAGGTTCTCATCCACCATCTGAGAGCACCGGGGTGTAAAATTCACAGGAGGCCAGCTTTTTTCCAGCCTCTTCAGGTGGTGAAAGTTGATGAGTTAGGCAGTTTGTAAAGAGACACAAGGAGATACTAGGGGGAAAAGTCCTTGGGAAGATTTCTTCCCCTCCCCTCCTTTCCCCTCCCCTCCCCTCCCCCCTCCCTCTCTCTCTCTCTCTCTTTCCTTCTTTCTTTCTTTCTCTCTCTTTCTTTTTCTTTCTTTCTCTTCCTTCCTTTCTTCTTTAATTCCTTCCTCCCTTCCTTACTTCCTTCCTTCCTTCTTCCTCCCTCCCTCCCTTCCTTCCTTCTTTCCCTCCTTCCTTCCTGTCTTTCTTACTTTCATTTATTTACTCTTCTAGTATAACATACTAGATTAAGTGGTAGCACTGGGAATGGATTAGAGAAGAATCTGGGGGATTAGTCTGGGTTTCTCTCTGATATACACTCTCTGCATCCAGGCCTTCTCATTCATTTATTCAAACATATTCCTTAAGAACCTTCTGTGGGCCACATGATGTGCCAGGCATGGGATACAGTGATTGAAAAGTTGATACAGAGCTTATATTCAAATAAGGGAGAGAGACCATGAATAAGTAAATGGATGATGTCCGAAATGAAAAACCTATGCATAGCTGACTGGGACTCTTTCAGGGGCCAAAAGGAAAAGTCCCTCCTGTCCTCCATGCAGGACCATGTGCAGGACCAAAAAAGAAATGAGAGGCCCAAAGCAAAGAAATACCTGCAGACTGGTTTTTCAAAATGGAAGCCGTACTGTGACAGTGCCCTTCTGAATATGGAAAAGTAGCGCTTCTGAGCAAATTGCCACAATGTTTTCTTGTTTTTGTTTTGTTTTGTTTTGTTTTTTTAAATGGAGTTTCACTCTTTTTGCCCAGGCTGGAGTGCAGTGGTGTGATCTCGGCTCACTGCAACCTCCGCCTCCTGGGTTTGAGTGATTCTCCTGCCTCAGCCTCCTGAGTAGCTGGGACTACAGGCACACGTCACCACGCCCGGCTAACTTTTATATTTTTAGTAGAGATGGTTTCACCATGTTAGCCATGAACTCCTGACCTCAAGTGATCCGCCCACCTCAGTCTCCCGAAGTGCTGGGATTACAAGCGTAAGCCACCGCGCCCAACCTAGTTGACACAATGTTGAAGGAAATGCAGAAATCCCAGCCTTTGATGGATCTAAAAAACAGCAGCACTGACACAGCAACCTCAGAGGCATTGGAGCAAGCTGGAAAGCTCAGAGAAAATGTAGACCCAGAAAAGGCTGTACGGTTATACCAACAAACAGCAATGCATTTAAAAATGTGGAATGCCTCAACAGGCAGCTGAACAGTTAGGAAAAGCCTCAGGACTGCTAGTATAAGGATGCAGGATTGATGGGACAGCACTCTCTATTTATAAAGAAAAATATTTATAAGGAAACAGAGTTATCCAACTATAAGAAAATAGTCGCTCAAGTATTAGTTCCTCTACATAGCAACGACTGTGCAGCTGGGAAAGCTGTGTCAGGAGAGCTCCAGCACAGCAGGAGTCCGTGCAAGTGGTGGCTGAGCTGTGCTAGAACAGC
The DNA here is from genome assembly GCF_000001405.40 of Homo sapiens. Classification (NCBI taxonomy): domain Eukaryota; kingdom Metazoa; phylum Chordata; class Mammalia; order Primates; family Hominidae; genus Homo; species Homo sapiens. The sequence goes on along the minus strand of NT_167246.2, from coordinate 2,271,777 downwards.
TTCCAGAAGGGTTTGCCCAGCAAGACCAAGCTACCCATCAGAGGTCAGCAACTCTCCACTTTTCAAGTACACAGGCAACGATTATGCTAAACCCAGCCTGAGTTTAGTAGTTCCGGGACAGAGAATCAAGAAGAAATTACCAGGGATGGTTGCACAACCACATGAATGTACTTAATGATACTAAACTTTACTCTTATAAATGGCTAAAATGATGTATTGTAAGTTATGTATATTTTATCATGGTTAAGAAAATAAGAAGGCGGAGGAGAAAGCAGAGAGGGAGAGAGAAGAGGAAGAGGAGGAAGAATTAGAAGAAAAAGGAGGAGGAGAAGAGGAGGAGGAAGAAGGGAAAATCAGCAGCTACCCTGGCC
>NT_167246.2:0-140232 GCF_000001405.40 Homo sapiens | reverse complement strand
GGCCACTTAGTCCCACTTTCTCTCTCAAACTGTCTTTTTCTCATTTCTGTGACTCTGCAGGACTTTGTCGCCCCCACGACCTGGTGTTGGGTCTGATCACCCCAACACTCAAATATGCCATTATTAAGCTATTGGTGTTGAAATAAAACTCACTAATTCAAAGCCACTCGGAGATTTTACTTTTCTCTACAGTACAGCCAGTTCTTACTAAAATGTAAACAATGAAACTCATTTGAAGCACAGAAAAAAGGGGATGTGGATAAATGAGGATTTTAAAAATCAAACTGGTATAGAAACTGCTTTACCCAAAATTGTGTTCCACAGTCTTTATTGGATTACCTATCAGTGCAAACAAAGTCTAGTCTTGTGGACAGGTCTCAATTTTGTGAAAAATAATTTGGATCTAGCTTTTCTTTTTTTTTTTTCCTTTTTTTTTTTTTTTGAGATGGAGTTTCACTCTTGTTGCCCAAGCTGGAGTGCAACGGTGAGATCTCGGCTCAGTGCAACCTCCATCTCCCAAGTTCAAGTGATTCTCCTGCCTGAGCCTCTTGAGAAGCTGGGATTACAGGGGTGCGCCACCACTCCCAGCTACTTTTTTGTATTTTTAGTAGAAACGGGGTTTCACCATGTTAGCCAGCCTGGTCTCCAACTCCTGAACTCAGGTGATCCTCCTGCCTCGGCCTCCCAAAGTGCTGGGATTACAGGTTTGAGCCACTGCACCCGGCCTGATCCAACTATCTTTTGTAAAATAGTAAATTTATGATGTTGTCTCATGGCTAGAGTTCCAAGTAAAAGCTGTTGGATATTGGTTTGTGTGTATAGATACATGCTTAAATGTGTTTATGTGTATGTATATATATTATGTGTTATGCCTAGCATACTACCAAATGGCTTATACATAAATGAGTACTCATAAAGTCCAAATGCTTTTCAAGTTCATATGAATTTAGTAATCTTTAATAAATAATCTGGCTTTAAAATTATTGGTAAAATAAAAATAGAAATGTCCTTGAATTGTCAGCATACGTTTTTGTCTCAGTTTACCAATTAGTTTTACATTTGCCTCTGCTAGATATTTTAAGGTGTCAGGGTTTGACCTAAAGATCATAAGTCTGTAAACCCAGCCAAAAACAGAATGATCTTTATTTGTGTGATTTTTTGGTAAGTATGACTAATTTAATATTGTTAGGTCAGTGAAAACAGCTAAAATTCCTGAGTTATTGGCAAAAATGCCCATGTGTTTAACTTTAAAGTTCTTGCCTAGGTGAACACCTGACATTCACAGTTTAACAGAAAAAATAATTCAGAATGATGAGTAACTTTGTCTAATGTCTTCGTTCCAATGAGTAATCTAGGTAAACTGCTAAAAATGAATAAATTGAGTAAATGTAAGAGATAAATGCTTACGGGTGAACTTTTTGTGTAGTTTAAAACCTTAAAATTGTTTTAAGTACTTGTTGAATGTCTGGATCATTTCCAATTCAAAAAATGGCATTTATAATATAGGGCATTGGTCACACTGAGGTGACAGCGTGCTGGCAGTCCTCAGAGCCCTCGCTTGCTCTCAGCACCTCCGCTGCCTGGGCTCCCACTTTGGTGGCATTTGAGGAGCCCTTCAGTCCCCCACTGCACTGTGGGAGCCCCTTTCTGGGCTGGCCAAGGCCGGAGCCCACTCCTTCAGCTTGCAGGGAGGTGTGGAGGGAGAGACACGAGCGGGAACCAGGGCTGTGTGCCGCACTTGCGGGCCAGCTGGAGTTCCGGGTGGGCGTGGGCTTGGTGGGCCCCGCACTCGGAGCAGCCAGCCAGCCCTGCTGGCCCCGGGCAATGGGGGACTTAGCACCCGGGCCAGTGGCTGCGAAGGGTGTACTGGGTCCCCCAGCAGTGCCGGCCCACCGGCGCTGTGCTCGATTTCTCGCCGGGCCTTGGCTGCCTTCCCACGGGGCAGGGCTCGGGACCTGCAGCCCGCCATGCCTGAGCCTCCCACCCCCCTCCGTGGGCTCCTGTGCGGCCCGAGCCTCCCGGACGAGCGCCACCCCCTGCTCCACGGCACCCAGTCCCATCGACCACCTAAGGGCTGAGGAATGCGAGTGCAGGGCGCAGGACTGGCAGGCAGCTCCACCTGCAGCCCCAGTGCGGAATCCACTAGGTGAAGCCAGCTGGGCTCCTGAGTCTGGTGGGGACGTGGAGAGTCTTTTTATCTAGCTCAGGGATTGTAAACACACCAATCAGCACCCTGTGTTTAGCTCAAGGTTTGTGAGTGCACCAATCGACACTCTGTATCTAGCTGCTCTGGTGGGGCCTTGGAGAACCTGTATGTGGAAACTCTGTATCTAACTAATCTAATGGGGACGAGGAGAACCTTTGTATCTAGCCCAGGGATTGTAAACGCACCAGTCAGCGCCCTGACAAAACAGGCCACTCGGCTCTACCAATCAGCAGGATGTGGGTGGGGCCAGATAAAAGAATAAAAGCAGGCTGCCCGAACCAGCATTAGCAACCCGCTGGGTTGTCTCTTCTGCACTGTGAAAGCGTTGTTTTTTTCACTATGCGCAATAAATTTTCCAACTGGTCATTCTTTGGGTCCACGCTGTTTTTATGAGGTATAACACTCACTGCAAAGGTTTGCAGCTTCACTCCTGAGCTAGCAAGACCACGACCCCACCAGAAAAAAGAAACTGCGGACACATCTGAACATCAGAAGGGACAGACTCCACGCCCGCGAACTTTAGAGCTGTGACACTCTCTGTGAGGGTTTGCGGTTTCATTGTTGAAGTCAGTGAGACCATAGAACCCACCAATTTCAGACAACACTTCTGAGCCTCTTAGTGGGAAATGAAATCTGTGATGGGGGGAAGCATTGGCAGACCTCAGTGAGCTGGATAAAAATAACGATCAGGTCCACAGAGAAAGCAAAAAGGGGATAGGCCAAATATGCACCTGTATCCTTGCAGGTAATGAACATGAAACAATACTTCCTGCTATTGGGGGGGCACTCTGAAATCACCCAAACAATCCAGAAAGTACATAAGGTACAAATAGTCAGACTGGCCCAGAGCCCCTACAGCAGCCTTGTTTGGCCTGTGAAGAAGCCAGGTGATGCCTGGAAGATGATGGTGGATTACCGCTAGCTGAACAAAGTGGTACGCCCTGTACATGCAGCTGTATCCAATATTGCTCAACTGCTAGAGCAAGCAGTACCGAAGCTGGGAAGTATCCATTCTGTGACTGACTGCATTAATACCTTTTCCAGTATTCTTTCAGCTGAAGATTCACAAGACCAGTTGGTCTACACTTAGGAGGACCAAGAATGGACTTTCCAGGTGTCACCACAGGGGCATCTGCAAAGCCCCGCCATCTCTCACAGTATGGTTACACAGGAGCTGTCTATAATCTCTTTGCCTGCCTTGGTCTCCCTGTTTCACTATATTAATGATAACATGCTACCCTAGAGTCTCTTACAGATTTGGAGACTATCCTACAAACTGTTTTGGACAGCCTGAAGGAGGGATAGAAAATCAACCCCAAAAATATACAGAGGCTTGGCATGCCTGTCAAATTCCTGAGAGTTACCTGGTTGGGTAAGATGTGAAACATACCCAAAGCCGTCATTGATAAGATAGCATAGTAGTCTACTCTCCAGACAGTAGAGCAACTCCAGGTTTTCCTAGGTTTACTGGGCTACTGGAGGATATTCATTCCTCATCTGGCACAAATACTCCACCCATTATACACCCTAATAAAGACAGGTAAAAAATGAGATGACATAAATAGAACAAGAGGCATTTGACAAAACAAAAATATTGGTGAAACAAGCCCAAGCATACAGACTCTACTGCTGTATTAGTAATCACCAGAGATGTCACAGGGATGAATTTAGGTTTGGGGCAAAAGCAACTAATGGGAATGGTACCTATAGGGTTTTGGTCTCAGTTATGGGAGGGAGCCAACATGGCAGTGGAGCCACCCATCAGGCCAACCACCATATATAAGGGTACCCCGCCAATATCTGCTAGGCCCTGGTACATTGATGGGCATAGCAAAGATATCCAACACTGGGCATCAGAAGAAAATATAGACTGGACCAGGTGCGGTGGGTCATGCCTGTAATCCCAGCACTTTGGGAGGCTGAGACAGGCAGATCACTTGAGGTCAGGAGTTTGAGAGCAGTCTGGCCAACATGGTGAAACCCCATCTCTACTAAAAATACAAAAATTAGCCAGGCGTGGTGGCGCATGCGTGTAGTCCCAGCTACTTGGGAGACTGAGGTGGGAGAATTGCTTTAATCCGGGAGGCGGAGGTTGCAGTGAGCCGAGATCGCACCATTGCATTCCAGCCTGGGCAACAGAGCGAGACTCTGTCTCAAAATAAAAAAGAAGAAAATATAGACTGGAGGTTCCACTTACCACCACAATCCAACAGAGGCAGGACTTACAGAAAGAAATAATGGCCTGTTAAAGACCCAGATGTGTGCACTGTTTCAGGTTGGCTCTTTAAGTTCCTGGACTAAGAATCTCCATAAAGCCATACAAACTTTAAATGAGTCACCCACTAGCACACATGGCATCACTCCTTATAAATGGTTGGCAAGGCCTGTAAGACATGTCCCACAAACTCTCGGGGTTACCTCAAAGACACTGAGCCATGCTCCTGAGGCAGATGGTGAGACATGCTCCTGAGAACACCAGTGGATCTGCCAAGCAGTGATGGCTACAGGGACCTGAAGCTGAGCTGGAATATGCCTCCATACTGGATTAGTTTTATAGTACTGGAGGGTGGTGCCATGATAACTGCCATAGGGGCAGTGGTCCCAGCTGTGCTCCTTGATAGAGTTCCGAGAGACTTACTTTATCAACAGATGGCAGCACCCATACCTGCTGGAATAATTATAGTATGGATAGCATGGGCAAGGCTGGAAACTTATCAATTGGCTATTGTGGCTGCTTCTAGGAAAAGAAGACATGGGTGGTTTTGTAATCCAGGCCTGAAGCCCACAGTGGCATCCCTAATAGTGCCAGTGGGAGAAAACACAATGATAATAATGTTGCAAGGTGTGGCCAGGCGCGGTGGCTCACGCCTGTAATCCCAACACTTTGGGAGGCCAAGGCGGGTGGAGTATGAGGCCAGGAGATCGAGACCATCCTGGCTAACACGGTGAAACCCCGTCTCCACTAAAAATACAAAAAATTAGCCAGATGTGGTGGCGGGCGCCTGTAGTCCCAGCTACTCAGGAAGCTGAGGCAGGAGAATGGCGTGAACCCAGGAGGCGGAACTTGCAGTGAGCCGAGATCGTGCCACTGCACTCCAGCCTGGGCAACAGAGCAAGACTCTGTCTCAAAAAAATTAAAAAAAAAAATGTTGCAAGGAGTGAATACGCCTGTGAGAGTTCCTACTAACCACCTGTGTTTATACCCATAGGTTGTTCCTGCTACTCATGGCAGCTGGTAATGTCTTTCTAGACTGAGCTGCAACTCCAGAAGCAGTCAACAACCAGTCAGATACCTCTCCCTATAAAATAATAATGATATGCCTTAAAATACTCTGCCTTTCTCCTGACAGAACTGGAGTGACTTGTACAATAGCACTGATAATGCAACCCGGGCTCACTAAGGATTGCCTCCACCTAGAGGCTCAATCACCAACGTGACAAAGACCCAAAATGTGCCTTTCTAGGTGCTAACTGTTGCACCTATTTCCCTGATGAAGAGAGTAATGTCAGAGGTACTTTAAACCATTTGTCAACTCAGATCCATGATATAACCTAATTAGGTTTCTTTTACTCATTCTCAAATTGGTTACACAGCTTCTCTAGTCATGGGAATTAGGTTTTGCTAATAGACATTATAATTGTAGTTAACTTCTGCTTTTTGTGCTCCTACGTATACTGTAGATGTGACCTGTATGCGCAAGCCATGGCTAGACGTTATAGACCTGTATAGTTCTTTCCTTCCACCCTACTCAAGGAGTCTCACACAAGATTGGCAGAAAGAATGTAAGAAATGGGAGGCAGGGTGGATTGCAGCATGACAGATCACCCACCATGTCACTTAAGAGTGTATGTCTACTGCCTGAACCCTGAAGGCCCAGTGGTGAGCCAAGGCCACGATGCCCAGCAGAGGAGCAGGTGTCCTTGAGAACACAAACATCCCAGAGAGTATCTGAGAACCTACCAAGAAAAACAGTCTCATTGCTCAAACACAGTAGGCAAAAAGCCAGAAAATTAACTTAGAAACAGTTTAAAGACAGGAGGCGGCATGGATCTCTAGAGCTATCCTGCTGCACCCAGGAGTACCCTGTATCTAAGTCCTACTAAACTCACCTGCTTATTAAGCTGGACTGTCTTTGGTCTTCCGGGACCTTCCCAGTTTGGGGGGAACGTTACAATCCCAAGTTTTTCTTGTAATACTTTCCAATCTTTCTCCTCCCCTTGTTAACTTTCCCCAGATCCTAGTTTCAGTTTCTGTTGTGGCTAGATTTTCAGGCCCAGTGGTTTTCAAACTTGCCTGAATATCAAATTCAACTGGGAAATATTAAATAACACAATATTCCATAGATGTGAGGACGATCTAGCTGTGACATCTGTCACCCCATAATAATTCCTGGGCCCTTTTCTGGAGACTCTGAAAGCACTCAGCATCTCAGTCTCTGGGGTAAGGCCTGGGGATTCCTGTTTTTATTAACTCCCGCAGGTAAATTTTCACCTTTGGGGACTCCTGCAGTGTTGTCCCAAAAGCACTTATAGGAAGGTCTAGGGCAGAAAAACATCTTTTCCCACCCAGTGCCAGGTTCATGGCTGACACTTCATAATAAAAGATAGATTAACAAGGGAAAAGCAGGCCGGGTGGGGTGGCTCATGCCTGTAATCCCAGCACTTTGGGGGGCTGAAGCTGGTGGATCACCTGAGGTCAGGAGTTTGAGACCAGCCTGGCCAACATGGAGAAACCCCCATTTCCACTAAAAATACGAAATTAGCTGGGCATAGTGGCACACGCCTGTAATCCCAGCTACTCGGGAGGCTGAAGCAGAAGAATCGCTTGAACCCGGGAGGCGGAGGTTGTGGTGAGCCAAGATCGCGCCATTACACTCTAGCCTGGGCAACAAAAGTGAAATTCTGTCTCAACAACAAAAAAAAAAAAAAAAAAAAAGGAAAAGCATACAAATCAAACAAATTTTATTGACACAAGAGCCTTCAAAAATGAAGACCTAAAGAAATAGGAAAATCTGCGTACAGCAGACCCTTGAATAACGTTGTTTCATTCAACATCATTTTGTTATAATGTTGATGAGAAAAAAGTCTATTTCTCCTGGAAGCCACTGTCTGAGTTTCCTCCCACATCCCAAAAATGTGCACATTAGGTTCATTAGCATATCTAGTCTGAGTCTAGCGTCATCAGTCTGAGTGAAAGAGCACGCGAGCATATGTGTGAGTGTGTGTGTGTGTGTATGAGCCCGCCCTGTGATGGAATGGCCACCTGTCCACGGTGGGTTCCCTCCTGACACTATGAGGAGTTGAATTAGGCTTCAGCCACCAAAGACCTTGAACTGGAGTGAGCAGGTTGAAAAATGCATGAATGAATACAAGTTACTGTAAAAGCAAAATTCAGGAAGCATTTCATAATCCTACAAATGCATGACAATAAACGACATGGTGCTAAAACAGCCAGCCGCCATACTGAGAGGTGACAGCTTGCTGGCAGCCCTCACAGCCTTCGCTTGCTCTAGGCGCCTCCTCGGCCTTGGCGCCCACTCTGGCCGCGCTTGAGGAGAACTTCAGCCCGCCGCTGCACTGTGGGAGCCCCTTGCTGGGCTGGCCAAGGCCGGAGCCGGCTCCCTCAGCTTGCAGGGATGTGTGGAGGGAGAAGCGCAGGCGGGAACCGAGGCTGCGCGCGGCGCTTGCGGGCCCAGCGCGAGTTCCGGGTGGGCGTGGGCTCGGCGGGCTCCGCACTCGGAGCGGCCCCCTAATCCGCAAGCCCCGAGCAGTAAGAGGCTTAGCACCTGTGCCAGCAGCTGCTGTTCTCGACTTCTCGCCGGGCCTTAGCTGTCTCCCCGCGGGGTAAGGCTCGGGACCTACAGCCCGCCATGCCTGAGACGCCCCTCCCCGCCATGGGCTCCTGCGCGGCCCGAGCCTCCCCGACGAGCGCCGCCCCCTGCTCCACGGCGCCCAATCCCATCGGCCACCCAACGGCTGAGAAGTGCGGGCGCAAAGCACGGGACTGGCAGGCAGCTCCACCTGCGGCACCGGTGGAAAATCCACTGGGTGAAGCCAGCTGGGCTCCTGAGTCTGGTAGGGACTTGGAGAACGTTTACGTCTACCTAAGGGATTATAAATACACCAATCGGCACTCTGTATCTAGCTCAAGGTTTGTAAACACACCAATCGGCACCCTGTGTCTAGCTCAGGGTTTGTGAATGCACCAATGGACACTCTGTATTTAGCTACTCTGGTGGGGACTTGGAGAACCTTTATGTCTAGCGAAGGGATTGTAAATACACCAATCGGCACTCTGTATCTAGCTCAAGGTTTGTAAACACACCAATCAGCACCCTGTGTCTAGCTCAGGGTTTGTGAATTCACTAATGGACACTCTGTATCTAGCTACTCTGGTGGGGACTTGGAGAACTTTTGTGTCTAGCTCAGGGATTGTAAACGCGCCAATGAGCACTCTGTGAAGATGGACCAATCAGCTCTCTGTAAAACAGACCAGTCAGTTCTCTGTAAAATGGACCAATCAGCAGGATGTGGGTGGGGCCAGACAAGATAATAAAAGCAGGCTGCCGGAACCAACTGCGACAACGTGTTCGGGCTTTTTCCCACGGTGCGGAAGTGATTTTTCGCTCTCTGCGATGGATCTTGATTGTTCTTTGGGTTTACACTACGTTTATGAGCTGTAATTTGTTGATGGTCTGCAGCTTATCTTTTGAAGTTAGGAAAAACATGAATTCTCGGGCAAGAACAAACAACTCCGGAGGCGCCGCCTTAGAAGATGTAACACTGACTGCCAAGGTTTGCAGTTTCACTCCTGAGCCAGTAGAAGACCAAACCACCAGAAGGAAGAAACTCTATAACACATCCGAACGTCAGAGGGAATGAACTCTGGCTACACCGCATCTAACGATTGTAACACTCATCCGGAGGACTTGTGGCTTTCTTGAAATCAGTGAGATCAAGAACCCGCCAATTCCGGACACAATGTTTTACGAATTGTGTGTTAGTAGGAGTTGCTCCTTACAACTGCTATTTCACAAACATTTATTCCTTGATATAACCTGCCACCACTAGAATTGCAGTCACTGATTCACCAAAAATAAATCAATCATGTCGTTTTTGCTGATCTTAACTTGAGGTGCAGCTCATATTTTTTTCAATATTTAGTGTTAGAAGTGTTTGGAGTCCTTATTTAGAAATTTGGTGTTTTTGTGATCAGACATTTGCCAAGAAAATTAACTCTTAAATCAATTAGTCTAGTCTATGGTAGAATTAGTTTTATTTTGCTTAAAGTAATAGTTTCCAAAAACCAACTGACAATAAGTGAGGACTTCCTATATTTTTATGCTTAGGTTTGATGAAGTGGATAGTCCCATAGCAGTATAATTGGATAAAAGGGGGTATGATCTAATGGTTATAAACTGGGGTGAACTTAGCAAAGCCTGTTTATTCAGGTTCTCTTTGGCATCTCTGTGTCTTCGTTTATTTCCTCCAAGTACATTTTCTCCCCTCTGAATTGACGGTCTTATCACCTACTTTAATTGGAAGATCAGGTAGCTTTCATGGCCCGCTTCACGGAACAAGGGCCCAGAGAAAAACGTTTCTGCTTCTGCTGTTTTCTCAAATGCCGAGGTGTCGTATTTTGGGAGTAGTGTGACCTGAACCCAGTCAAAAGACGTCCGAGTCTTTCTAATCTCTGGGTCATAGGGTCGCCTTTGGCCTATGCATTGTACGTATACAGTATGGCATTTCGCATGTCTGTCCACTTCTAGGCGCACAGTCCAACTGGCTTTGACTGGTCAGGAAGGCCAGGCCTGGATCTGGGGTTGGTACTATAGGTTAGATGTTTTCAGGTTTTGAAGGAGAAACAGGTCCCTTAAGGATGAGAGCGAATCAGAAGAAGACAGACAAAAAAGGATTTAGGATTTGTTCCAGAAGCTCATTTCTGGATTGACTGTCGTACCAAGGTTTGGCGAACGGCGGCAAGCGCTTGCCAGTTTGTCGAAGAGTGGAGAGGTCAGTTGTGCCAAGGAGTGGAGAGGTCTAAGAACTCTCCAGGAGCACGGAGGGTTTATGCAGTCATAAATCGCCTTGCTTCTGCATACTTTTTATTCCGTGGAGGATTCCGCCCGGGCGATGGCGCCATAAATGCAGGTGCGTCCTGGCTCTTTTCTCTTCCCAGTGCGCATCTCGGCGACTCTCACCACCCGAGTCTCAGAGCCCGCGAAACGTAGCGTGCCAGGTTCTCCATCCCGAGGCTGGGCGCGGGAACCTGCAGGGGCAGTAACTACGACCGGGACAAGCCGATCTGCAATTCCCCTCCTGTTTTCTCTGCCCCTTGGACTTAAATTCCCACGGCGGCGTTTAGGGCTTTCGTTTTATCTTTCTGCGTTATGCTCGCGGTTTCCTGGCAACCTTTCCAAGCAGAATCACCCCATCACAGACCTTTCTCTGGGGGGCGGCCAGGCAGGACGGCTCCCTTATAAACCCCGATAGGTGGTTGTCGAGCGGCCGTCCGAGAGGGTGACCTGCAGCGGGAGATCCCAGGCCCAGCACGGGACTTTCGATATAACATTCAGTTTTCCTTCTCTCAGCGCAGTCAGGAAACAATATCCAGTATAGCGAATTCAAAATTAAGTTCGACAAAATATGCTTCTTGGCACGACCGATAATAGTAACAGGTCATAGAAATATTTTGGCCCACGTTGAGCGTTGGGGGGTGTAGCTCAGTGGTAGAGCGCGTGCTTAGCATGCACGAGGCCCCGGGTTCAATCCCCGGCACCTCCAGCTTCATTTTTCTCCCGCCTTTTCTCCTAGATGTGCCTTGTTTGCAAAATCATGTCTATCATGTCCACGACTCGCCTCAATTTTTTTTCTTTTGTTTTTGTGGCACTTTCATTCTCTCTCAATTCTTCAAATTCACATGGAAACCAAGGAAAACAAGCTCCGTTTTGCTTTCAATATTGATGCATTTCTGCTCTAAGGCTTTGACACCACCCTGGGTGGCTGTGTCAAGAGATGAAAGACAAAATGAAAGAGGCCGCGGAAGCACAGACTGGCAGAATTCCAAAACCCGAAAAACAAGCAAGGCACCAAATTAACAAGCCCAATCACATTGGTTACATTTCCCAGTATTATCGAAGATCAAGCAAGAAAGAAAAAGACAGAAAACAAATGCGAAACCACAGGTAATTTTTTACAATTTATTTTAGATCCTTTCTTTTTTGAGCTGTTCCTTGGTCAAGGGACAGACCCAGAAAATAGGAAAACTGTCCCACGGATTTCCCCACCACTCTCTTCCCATCGCAATCTCTTTTCTTTTCCCCCATCAGGTGTCCTCTTGTTCGTCCGATTTTAGACTTTGTAAGCTTTTTGTAGGCTTTTTTTTTTTTTTTTTTTGGAGACAAGAGTCTCACTCTGTCTCCCAGGCTGGAGTGCAGAGTGCAATGGCACCATCTCGGTTCACGTGCAAGCTGTGCCTCCCAGATGCAAGTGATTCTCCTGCCTTAGCCTCCCGAGTAGCTGGAATTACAGGCATGATGCACCACCATGCCCGGCTAATTTTTTTTTTTTTAGTGGAAACGGGGGTTTCACCATGTTGGCCAGGCTGGTCTCGAACTCCTGAACTCAAGTGATCCACGATCCACCCGCCTCTGCCTCCTAAAGTGCCGGGATTCCAGGCGTGAGCCACCACGCCTGGCCTACTTTGTATGCATTTCTTTGACTCATTGTTATTGTTTCTGACTTTATTAGGGTAACTTTTATTAAAGCATAATGTAAGCTTTGGATCCAAATAGAAGTTCTTTATTGTGTTAAATAAATTGAAGCCTTCGTATCTGGCTGACTTGAAGCAGCACTTAGCTAGTTTTAAAAGATATGGAAGGCAATCAGAAAACAAAGATACATATCCCCACTCCCTTCTCTTCCCAATTCTAACCGCAGCTCACATTTTGAAGGGCCTCACACATGCATGTGTGAACATCTCAACATATTAGCGGTGGCAGTTATCTGTAAGGAGTCTGCAGCAACATTAATTCTTGCCTCCTCAGGAGAAGGAAAGAATTCGATTGAGGAGCATAATGCCGAAGGAGAGACCGAGGCAAGTCTTAGAGCAGGGGTGAAAAATTATTGAAAATATTTAGAGCACTAATGAAGGAAAGTACACTTGGAAGAGGGCCAAGCAGGCGACTTGAGAGACCAAGTGCACGGCTTGACCTCTAGACCTGGGGTCGTAAACGTTGGCATAGTTCCTAAATCTTGTGTTATTTCTCCCCACTCCTGAGATCTTATTGGGAAGTGACCGACCACCAGTTTCACGTGTTTTCTATCTGTTAAGAAACTGCCTTTCTCTGTCAGAGGAAGAATCAGTTTAAACTTTATAGATTTCTTTTAAAACGTATTTATTACAAGTCCCCAAGAGGGCTTTATTTTTGCTTTCACACATCCTGTTTTTCAGCTTCCTTGGCTCTTTTTGCCCATATGCCGAAGAGCCGAGCATTGCCGCCAAGCATTGGCACCGGCCATGCGGAGACTAGCGAAAGCTTTGCAATTCCTCTACTTCTCAGTGATGACTCGGGCTTTCTCCTTACATTCTTGATGGGCATGACCGGTCCTGTCAGCTGGGTGGCCAATTTCTGTTCTTCAGCAGAACTGTCTCCCTTCTTGGGGGCCGAGGGCTTTCTGGGGAAGAGGATGAGTTTGGAGCAATACTCATTCAGACGCTGCACATTGGCCTGCAGGGAATCGGTGGACTTGTTCTGCCTCCTCGGATCCACAGAGATGCCAGTGGTCCGGGTCACCTTCTTGTGAATGCCCGCCACCCTGAGCTCCAGGCTGAAGCCTCTGCCGGCGCGCACCTTGATGTGATAACGCACAGCAGGGCACAGCACAATGGGCCAGATGGGTCCCGACTCTCCGGGCGCGGGGCGATGCAGCGCCCTTTGGCTTGCCGGGCCTTGATTCTGCGGATCTTCTGGTTGAACCACGTGGCCACACGCTGCTGCCAGTCCTTGTGGAAGTGGGGCTTCAACATCATGCCATTCCTGCTGGGCGCCATGGCTGCCTACGGCCCTCCTACGAAGGAAACACTTTATAGATTTCTATAGCAGTGTTACATAGTAAGGTTTTATGGCGAGTTTTGTAGCATGGATCATACTACCTTAGGACTGATGGTAAAGTTTTAGTCTAAGGAAAGCTCTGAAAATTTGAAAATGTGTAACCACCCAATGAGTTCAGCTTGCCCACTGCCTAGACAGAACCATTTATCAAGACGGGCATGCAAAGCCGGCTGTGTGGGAGACCCGTTTTATTATTATTCAAATCAGTCTCCCCAAGTGGATTGCAGTTTTTAAGGATAATTTGGTGGGTAGGGGACCAGTGAGTTGGGAAAGTTGATTAGTCGGGTCGGAGATGAAATCAGAGGGAGTCGAAGCTGTCCTCTTGTGTTGGCTTAATTTCTGGATGGGGGCCACAAGACCAGATGAGCCAGTTTATCGTTATGGGTGGTGCTAGCTGATCCATAGAGTACAGGGGCTGCAAAATATCTCAAGAACTGATCTTCGGTTTTACAATAGTGATGTTATCCTGAGGAGCAATTGGGGGAGGTTTAGAATCTTGCAGCCTCCAGCTGCATGACTCCTAAACCATAATTTATAATCTTGTGGCTAATTTGTTAGTCCTGCGAAAGCAGTCTAGTCCCCAGGCAGGAAGCGGGTTTGTTTTGGAAAGGGCTGCTATTGTCTTTGTTTCAAAGCTAAACTATAAACTAAGTTCCTCCCAAAGTTAGGTCAGCCTACGACCAGGAATGAACAAGGACAGCTTGGAGGTTAGAAGCAAGATGGAATTGGTTAGGTTAGATCTCTCACTGTCTCAGTTGTAATTTTGCGATGGTGTTTTCAAATGTTGATTTAAAGAAGACCATAAATTTGTGTTGCTTTCTCAGATTTTGAGAATAAGGACAAAAAGTGTATGTTTTAATGGGAGAATCTTAAGAATTTCACTACTGAAGTGGATTTCTCTGTCCATTAACAGTGCTAAATGTTTTGTATTTCCCAGTTGGAAAAACAAAATCTGCAAGCTTTGAATGATACTTGTTATTAGGTTTTGGTAACAGCTGTTGTACTATTCCCATTTCAATGCTCAATAGCCACACGTGGCATGTCATACCTACCAGGTGGACAGCACAGATATAGAACATTTTCATCATTGTAAAAAGCCCTATTTGACAACACTAACTTAAAGTATTAATCTTTTAGAAGAGAAAGCTTCAGTCCAACCCAAATTACACAATTTTACTTTTGAAAATATTGTTGAAACAACGTTCAATTTTTTAAAATTTTGGAAAACTGAATGAAATCCATTTGTAAATGCGCAAATGGTACTGGAGGTGGAAAACTGAAGCCTTGCTATAGTTTTAGTTTTTTGGAGGGTTATGATCAACACAGAGAAGAAAAGATTCATCTACCCATAGAGCTTCTTGAGAAAAATTTTCTAACAATAATTTTGAAAATTTGTAGTGAATTTGTTCTTGCCATTATTTATGGGTGCTTTCATGTGCGAGGCACATCAAAGTTCTGGGGAATGACTTAGGCACAACCAAATGGCTATCTTGGGAAGACCAAAGTCCTTTGCTATATATGAGAGTTTTGAGATGGCGACTACCTTTCTGTATGGTAGATTCTTGTTTTTGAATATGCCCTCTGGGTTTTCAAAACAAATTGTTTTTACAATACCTATAGTAGTTATCTAGGGCATATTCTTTAGCTTCAAAAATTCTATCTTTAGAATGGGCTTCAATATTCATAACTGAGTTATTTTCCTCTAATAAATCATTAACATTTTCCCATGTTTTATTGTGGTGTTCATGGTAGTTTAAAATACCTTATAATAGCATATAATATGTATGAACAACCTGAAAATATATGTATGTGAACAACCTGAAGCCACATGTACTCTCAGTATACAGGTTAATTCTTAAACCTTCAACAAGATGTCATGCTCAAATTGGAACTACATTTGTGCTTCACACAAAGACCTTTCCGTCAATGACTGACTACATGTACGACCATGGTTTTATAAGACTATAATACCATATTTTTACTGTATCTTTCCTGTGTTTAAGTACACAAATACGTATCTGTGTGTTCCATTGCCCTACAGTATTCAATACAGTAACATGCTGTAGTGGTTTGTAGCCCAGCAGCAATGGACTACACCGTATAACCTAGGTGTGGAGTAGGCTATACCATCTAGGTTTGTGTTAAATACTCTCTAAAATGTTTGCACAGTGATGAAATGCCCTAATGACTAATTTTTCAGATCATATCCCTGAGGTTGATCTAGGCATGACTGTATTAGTCCAGTCATCTGAGTAGATGTTGGCAAAAGGATAGTTTCCGTTACAGAAAATTAAGATGGCATATCCAGTAGAAGAGCATACCTTGAATTTGTTTTATTTTTAATTTTTAAAAAAAGTTTTAGAGCAGTTTATAAGCAGTTTTTAAGTTTATAAGATCACATAAGTTCATTTACCATATTCTACCACCATAACTTGACGTAAGCCTGAATGAACATTTTATAAGCTCAGCCTTACTGTATACTAAGTTCAAGTTTACATCAAGTTACGGTGATAGTATATGGTAAGATGTTTTGCCCTGAAAGTCCTTATTTTAAAATATGTATAGTTAAACTGACACATAACAAAGCATGTGAGACAAAAGAAAAGAGGAGACAACCAGATGGATTCTAGTGAGTTTGAGCTGCCATCCTCTGACTTGCACGCAAGGGCAAAGATTCACTAATCCAACAAGTGCTTGCTAAAGATTTAGGGGAAATAACATTGCTTTTTTATTTCATTTTCCCCCAACAGTTCATTCCATTAATAGTGCTAGGAAGTTTTGACATGAGAATAGGAACACTTTTCTCGGGTTTTGAAGGGCCTTGTATAGTCATGCAAAGAAGAGCATCGTACAGTCATACAAAGTCTACAGTATGAGGGTGTAGCACAGATATAAGGTACTGGATTATATCTCTTTTTTTTTTTTTTTTTGAGATGGAGTTTCACTCTTGTTGCCCAGGCTGGAGTGCAATGTCGCGATCTCGGCTCACTGCAACCTCCGCCTCCCAGGTTCAAGCAATACTCCTGCCTCAGCCTCCCAAGTACCTGGGATTACAGGCATGCGCCACCATGCATGGCTAATTTTGTATTTTTAGTAGAGACGGGGTTTCTCCATGTTGGTCAGGCTTGTCTCAAACTCCCGACCTCAGGTGATCCGCCTGCCTCAGCCTACCAAGTGCTGGGATTACAGGCCTGAGCCACCGTGCCCGGCCATCTCTATTTTTTAAAAATATATTTGTGTGTAAATGTCTCAGTTATTTTAAAAACCTTGGTGCTATTTAATACTGTGGTTAACACTTTGGAAGAAAATGGCTAGGTTTGAGCCTGACCTTGTTGGTATAGGCTCACTCACACCTTCAGAATATGGGCATTGATGAAAGAAAAAATTCAGCTGAATTAAATTTAAAGGAGTTTAATTGAGCAATGAACGGTTTGCGAATCGGGCAGCCCCCAGAATCACAACAGATTCACAGAGACTCAGCGCAGTCACATGGTGGAAGAAGATTTATAGACCAAAAAAAAAAAAAAAAAAAAAAGGGAGGGCCGAGCGCAGTGGCCCACGCCTATAGTCCCAGCACTTTGGGAGGCCGAGGTGTGTGGCTCACGAGGTCAGGAGTTCAAGACAAGCCTGACCAACATGGTGAAACCCCGTCTCTACTAAAAATACAAAAAAATTAGCCGGCTGTGGTGGCATGCTCCTGTAATCCCAGCTACTCAGGAGGCTGAGCCAGGAGAATTGCTTGAACCCGGGAGGCAGAGGTTTCAGTGAGCTGAGATCGAGCCACTGCACTCCAGCCTGGGCAACAGAGCAAAACAGCAAAACTCCTTCTTAAAAAAAAAAAAAAAAGGAATGACATATGGAAATTGGAAGTGAGGTACAGAATGGCTGGATGGGTTACAGCTCAGTTTTTGCCTTATTTGAACACAATTTGAACACTCAGCAGTGTATGAATGGTTGAATTACAGCCACTGGGATTGGCCAAGACTCAGCTATTGTTATAGGCACATATTCCTAAGTTAGGTTTTCAATCTTGTCTACCCATTAAACTAGGTTGCAATTCCTCCACAAGGACCCAAATATAAAAGTATGGAATCTTTCTCAGGCCATATTTAGTTTGCTTTAACAGCATAATCCACAGATTATGGTGCAGTGGATTCCGCTGATATTCAGGGGTGCTGACTCTAGTTTTCAATTAAGACAAGTGAAGAGAGACAGAACTCTGTTCCAGATAATGGATGTCTAGGTAATTCAGATAATCCCCCTGGTAAAGACAACAATAAAGCCGGGTGATATATAAAAATAATTCTTTCTTAAAGCATTAAAAATATAATAAACTAGTAATCAATTACCTGCTGAGTGTCAGTAAAAGAAACAAACCCAGAGAAGTGAATCTAGCAGTTGGGACCCCTTTTGCCCTGGCAACATTTGTAATCTGGATGTAGAAGCCAAGAGACTTATCTATGTTTCTGATAGCCTCATAGGGTTAGAGGAACAAAAACAGAAACCTAGGGCTGCCCAAAGTGGCGACATTGGTGATCATGCACTCCCCCTGAGGCTGCTTTCTAGGAGTAAAGGGGAACTGTAAGTAAACCTGCTCACCCATAAACTGCAGCTTGGCTTACCATCATCTGGTAGCCCATAAGACCCCAAACCTTGACACTGGTTTAAGGTGGGCTGTATTTCAGCACATCTAGGTTTCTGAAGAAGCAAAAGAAAATCCTCTCTGAAGGAATAAAACTTTAACCTAGACTTCACATTATTTCTAGAAATATTTTTTTCAAATACAAAACCCAGCATACAAACGTGCATACACATGAACAAACAAGTCTCCGTGAAAATCAACAGAAACAACAGACTCAAAAAAAGAAAAGAAAGAAAAGAGAGAGAAAGAAAGAGAGAAAGAAAGAAAAAAGAAAAAGAGAAAAGAAAGGAAAGAAAGAAAAAGAAATGACAGATACCAGAAATAGAATCTACTAAACTTCAGATTTGGAAATTATCAGATAAGGGTGTAACAAAACTGCTTACTATATTCAAAGAAACAAAAGCTAATCTAAAAAATTTAAGGAGCAAATTGAAAAATATAAAAACTGACGAAGTAGATTTAAAAATAAAAACCAAAATTTATTTGTAATTGAAATATATAATAACCAAAATTAAGAACTTGAAGGATAAATTAACAACAAACTTGACACAACTGAAAAGAGTATTAGTAAAGTGGAAAATAATTTAGAAGAAATTATTCAGAACACGCTGGGCGTGGTGGCTCACATCTGTAAACCCAGCACTTTGGGAGGCTGAGGCAGGTGGTTCACGAGGTCAGGAGATCGAGACCATCATGATAACTCGGTGAAACCCCATCTCTACTAAAAATACAAAAAATTAGCCAGGTGTGGTGGCAGGCACCTGTAGTCCCAGCTACTTGGGAGTCTGAGGCAGGAAAATGGCATGAACCCAGAAAGCGGAGCTTGCAGTGAGCCGAGATTGTGCCACTTTACTCCAGCCTGGGCAACAGAGCGATACTCTGTCTCATAAAAAAACAAAAAGTAATTATTCAGAACAAAGTATGGAGATGCAAAATAATGGTATTAATAGAAGAGAGGATAAGGAGATCTAATATATATTTAATTAGAATTTTTAATGGATGAAAGACAATAGAGCAGAGGCAATATTTGAATAAATAATAACTGAGATATATAAGACATGGAGAAATGCCACCTACATTCCCTCTCAAAGAAGGACTCATTTCCCTTAGTTGTTTGGAGTGCTGCCAATGTTCTAGGGTTTATCTCAGGTGCAGAGAGTTGATTCTCCCAAAAGCACACCCTTCCTGGGATGATGCACCTTCAACAATTGATTGCAGTGGAGTAAAAAGATTTGTCGTTTTGGCACCACAGGAGTATAGGCCATATGTAATCCAGTGCTCCCTATGGTGTTGGTTGAGACTTTGGCAGGTCTGCATCTCAGCTTAACTCACTTTTCCAGTTTGACAGCCTCATTCACGGTGCTCAGACCATGGAAGTATTTTGTGTTAGAAAAAGGACAATTGGCTGGGCATGGTGGCTCATGCCTGTAATCCCAGCACTTTGGGAGGCCGAGGTGGGAGGATCACTTGAGGTCAGGAGTTTGAGACCAGCCTGGCCAATATGGCAAAACCCCTTCTCTACTAAAAATACAAAAAATTAGCCAGGCATAGTGACAGCCGCCTGTAATCCCAGCTACTTGAGAGTCTGAGACAGGATAATCACTGGAACCTGGGAGGTGGAGGTTGCAGTGAGCTGAGATTGCGCTGTTGCAATCCAGCCTGGGTGACAGAGCGAGCCTCAATCTCAAAAAAAAAAAAAGGACAATTGTCAAAAGTAAGAAGCTGTAGTAGGGGGTCAGAAATATAAATAAATACTATCAGGGCTCAGGTCTAAGGGGGGAAATATTTTATTCTCTTATTTTTTGTACTTTAAGTTCTAGGGTACATGTGCACAATGTGCAGGTTTGTTACATATGTATACACGTGCCATGTTGGTATCCTGCACCCATTAACTTGTTATTTACATTAGGTATTTCTCCTAATGCTATCCCTCCCCACTAACCCACTCCACGACAGGCCCTGGTGTGTGACATTCCCCTTCCTGTGTCCAAGTGTTCTTATTGTTCAATTCCCCCCATGAGTGAGAACATGAGGTGTTTTGTTTTCTGTCCTTGTTATGGTTTGCTGAGAATGATGGTTTCCAGCTTCATCCATGTCCCTACAAAGGACATGAACTCATCCTTTTTTATGGCTGCATAGTATTCCATGGTGTATATGTGCCACATTTTCCTAATCCAGTCTATCATTGATGGATATTTGGGTTGTTCCAAGTCTTTGCTATTGTGAATAGTGCCGCAATAAACATATGTGTGCATGTGTCTTTATAGTAGCATAATTTATAATCCTTTGGGTATATACCCAGTAATGGGATTGCTGAGTCAAATAGTATTTCTAGTTCTAGATCCTTGAGGAATTATCACACTGTCTTCCACGATGGCTGAACTAGTTTACAGTCCCACCAACAGTGTAAAAGCATTCCTATTTCTCCACATCCTCTCCAGCACCTGTTGTTTCCTGACTTTTTAATGATCACCATTCTAACTGGTGTGAGATGGTATCTCATTGTGGTTTTGATTTGCATTTCTCTGATGGCCAGTGATGATGAGCATTTTTTCATGTGTCTTTTGGCTGCATAAATGTCTTCTTTTGAGAAGTGTCTGTTCATATCCTTTGCCCACTTTTTGATGGGGTTGTTTGATTTTTTCTTGTAAATTTGTTTGAGTTCTTTGTAGATTCTGGATATTAGCCCTTTGTCAGATGGGTAGATTGCAAAAATTTACTCCCATTCTGTAGGTTGCCTGTTCACTCTGATGGTAGTTTCTTTTGCTGTGCAGAAGCTCTTTAGTTTAATTAGATCCCATTTGTTTATTTTGGCTTTTGTTGTCATTGCTTTTGGTGTTTTAGTCATGAAGTCCTTGTCCATACCTATGTCCTGAATGGTATTGCCTAGGTTTTGTTCTAGGGTTTTTATGGTTTTAGGTCTAACATTTAAGTCTTTCATCCATCTTGAATTAATTTTTGTATAAGGTTTAAGGGAGGGATCCAGTTTCAGCTTTCTACATATGGCTAGCCAGTTTTCTCAGCACCATTTATTAAATAGGGAATCCTTTCCCCATTTCTTGTTTTTGTCAGGTTTGTCAAAGATCAAATGGTTGTAGACGTGTGGTATTATTTCTGAGGGCTCTATTCTGTTCCATTGGTCTATATATCTATTTTGGTACCAGTACCATCTGTTTTGGTTACTGTAACCACGTAGTATAGTTTGAAGTCAGGTAGCGTGATGCCTCCAGCTTTGTTCTTTTGGCTTAGGATTGTCTTGGCAATGCAGGCTCTTTTTTGGTTCCATATGAACTTTAAAGTAGTCTTTTCCAATTCTGTGAAGAAAGTCATTGGTAGCTTGAGGGAGATGGCATTGAATCTATAAATTACCTTGGGCAGTAGGGCCATTTTCATGATATTGATTCTTCCTATCCATGAGCATGGAATGTTCTTCCATTTGTTTGTGTCCTCTTTTATTTTGTTGAGCAGTGGTTTGTAGTTCTTCTTGAGGAGGTCCTTCACATCCCTTGTAAGTTGGATTCCTAGGTATTTTATTCTCTTTGTAGCAATTGTGAATGGGAGTTCCCTCATGATTTGGCTCTCTGTCTGTTACTGATGTATAGGAATGCTTGTGATTTTTGCACATTGATTTTGTATCCTGAGACTTTGCTGAAGTTGCTTATCAGCTTAAGGAGATTTTGGACTGAGACGATGGGGTTTTCTAAATATACAATCATGTCATCTGCAAGCAGGGACAATTTGACTTCCTCTTTTCCTAATTGAATACCCTTTATTTGTTTCTCTTGCCTGATTGCCCTGGCCAGAACTTCCAACACTATGTTGAATAGAAGTGGTGAGAGAGGGCATCCCTGTCTTGTGCCAGCTTTAAAAGGGAATGCTTCCAGTTTTTGCCCATTCAATATGATATTGGCTGTGGGTTTGGCATAAACAGCTCTTATTATTTTGAGATACGTCCCATCAATACCTAGTTTATTGAGAGTTTTTAGCATGAAGGGCTGTTGAATTTTGTCGAAGGCCTTTTCTGCATCTATTGAGATAATCACATGGTTTTTGGCTTTGGTTCTGTTTATGTGATGGATTACATTTATTGATTTTCATATGTTGAACAAGCCTTGTATCCCAGGGATGAAGCCAACTTGTTCTTGGTGGATAAGCTTTTTGATGTGCTGCTCGATTTGGTTTGCCTGTATTTTATTGAGGATTTTCGCATCGATGTTCATCAGGGATATTGGTCTAAAATTCTCTTTTTTTGTCATGTCTCTGCCAGGCTTTGGTATCAGGATAATGCTTGCCTCATAAAATGAGTTAGGGATGAGTCCCTCTTTTTCTATTGTTTGGAATAGTTTCAGAAGAAATCGGACTAGCTCCTCTTTGTACCTGTGGTAGAATTCTGCTGTGAATCCGTCTGGTCCTGGACTTTTTTTGGTTGGTAGGCTATTAATTATTGCCTCAATTTCAGAGCCTGTTATTGGTCTATTCAGGGATTCAACTTCTTCCCAGTTTAATCTTAGGAGAGTGTATGTGTCCAGGAATTTATCCATTTCTTCTAGATTTTCTAGTTTATTTGCATAGAGGTGTTTATAGTATTCTCTGATGGTAGTTTGCATTTCTGTGGGATCGGTGGTGATATCCCCTTTATCATTTTTCATTGCATCTGTTTGATTAGTCTCTATTTTCTTCTTTATTAGTCTTGCTGGTGATGTATCAATTTTGTTGATCTTTTCAAAAAAGCCAGCGCCTGGATTCATTGATTTTTTGAATGGTTTTTTGTGTTTCTGTCTCCTTCAGTTCTGCTCTGATCTTAGTTATTTCTTGCCTTCTGCTAGCTTTTGAATGTGTTTGCTCTTGCTTCTCTAGTTCTTTTCATTGTGATGTTAGGATGTCGATTTTAGATCTTTCCTGCTTTCCCTTGTGGGCATTTAGTGCTATAAATTTCCCTCTACACACTGCTTTAAATGCGTCCCAGAGATTCTGGTATGTTGTGTCTTTGTTCTCATTGGTTTCAAAGAACATCTTTATTTCTGCCTTCATTTTGTTATTTACCCAGTAGTCATTCAGGAGTAAGTTGTTCAGTTTCCATGTAGTTGTGCAGTTTTGAATGAGGTTCTTAATCCTGAGTTCTAATTTGATTGCACTGTGGTCTGAGAGACAGTTTGTTGTGATTTCTGTTCTTTTACATTTGCTGAGGAGTGCTTTACTTCCAACTTTGTGGTCAATTTTGGAATAAGTGTGATGTGGTGCTGAGAAGAATGTATATTCTGTTTATTTGGGGTGGAGAGTTCTGTAGATGTCTATTAGGTCTGCTTGGTCCAGAGCTGAGTTCAAGTCCTGAATATCCTTGTTAACCTTCTGTCTCATTGATCTGTCTAATATTGACAGTGGGGTGTTAAAGTCTCCCATTATTATTGTGTGGGAGTCTAAGTCTCTTTGTAGGTCTCTAAGGACTTGCTTTATGAATCTGGGTGCTCCTGTATTGGGTGCATATATATTTAGGATAGTTAGCTCTTCTTGTTGAATTGACCCCTTTACCATTATGTAATGGCCTTCTTTGTCTTTGTTGATCTTTGTTGGTTTAAAGTCTGTTTTATCAGAGACTAGGATTGCAACTGCTGCTTTTTTTTTTGCTTTACATTTGCTTGGTAGATCTTCCTCCATCCCTTTATTTTGAGCCTGTGTGCGTCTCTGCATGTGAGATTGGTCTCCTGAATACAGCACACTTGATGGGTCTTGACTCTTTATCCAATTTGCCAGTCTGTGTCTAATTTAATTGGGGCATTTAGCCCATTTACATTTAAGGTTAATATTGTTATGTGTGAATTTGATCCTGTCATGATGTTAGCTGGTTATTTTGCCCATTAGTTGATGCAGTTTCTTCCTAGCATCGATGGTCTTTACAATTTGGCATGATTTTGCAGTGGCTGGTACCAGTTGTTCCTTTCCATGTTTAGCGCTTCCTTCAGGAGCTCTTGTAAGGCAGGCCTGGTGGTGACAAAATCTCTCAGCATTTGCTTGTCTGCAAAGGATTTTATTTCTCCTTCAATTATGAAGCTTAGTTTGGCTGGATATGAAATTCTAGGTTGAAAATTCTTTTCTTTAAGAATGATAAATATTGGCCCCCACTCTCTTCTGGCTTGTAGAGTTTCTGCCAAGAGATCTGCTGTTAGTCTGATGGGATTCCCTTTGCGGGTAACCCGACCTTTCTCTCTGGCTGCCCTTAACATTTTTTCCTTCATTTCAACCTTGGTGAATCTGACAATTATGTGTCTTGGGATTGTTTTTCTCGAGGAGTATCTTTGTGGTGTTCTCTGTATTTCCTGAATTTGAATGTTGGCCTGCCTTACTAGGTTGGGGAAGTTCTCCTGGATAATATCCTGAAGAGTGTTTTCCAACTTGGTTCCATTCTCCCTGTCAGTGTCAGGTACACCAATCAGACGTAGATTTGGTCTTTTCACATAGTCCCATATTTCTTGGAGGCTTTGTTTGTTTCTTTTTAGCCTTTTTTCTTTTATTTATTTATTTTTTTTTGAGACAGAGTCTCACTGTGTCACCGAGGCTGGAGGGCAGTGGTGCCATCTTGGCTCACTGCAAGCTCCACCTCCCGGGTTCACGCCATTCTCCTGCCTCAGCCTCCCGAGTGGCTGGGACTACAGGCGCCCGCCACCATGCCCAGCTAATGTTTTGTATTTTTAGTAGAGACGGGGTTTCACCGTGTTAGCCAGGATGGTCTCGATCTCCTGACGTTGTGATCCGCCCGCCTCGGCCTCCCAAAATGCTGGGATTACAGGCGTGAGCCACCGCGCCCGGCTTCTTTTTACCCTTTTTTCTCTAAATTCTCTTCTTGCTTCGTTTCATTAATTTGATCTTCAATCACTGATACCCTTTCTTCCACTTGATGGAATCGGCTACTGAAGCTTTTACATGTGTCACGTAGTTCTCGTGCCATGGTTTTCAGCTCCATCAGGTCCTTTGAGGTCTTCTCTACACTGTTTATTCTAGTTAGCCATTTGTCTAATCTTTTTTCAAGGTTTTTAGCTTCCTTATGATGGGTTCAAACCGCCTCCTTTAGCTCGGAGAAGTTTGTTATTACTGACCTTCTGAAGCCTACTTCTGTCAATTCATCAAAGTGATTCTCCATCCAGCTTTGTTCCATTGCTGGTGAGGAGCTGCGATCCTTTGGAGGAGAAGAGGTGTTCTGGTGTTTAGGATTTTCAGCTTTTCTGCTCTGGTTTCTCTCCATCTTTGTGGTTTTATCTGCCTTTGGTCTTTGATGATGGTGACCTACAGATGGGCTTTTGGTGTGGATGTCCTTGTTGTTGATGTTGATGCTATTTCTTTCTGTTTGTTAGTTTTCCTCCTAACAGGTCTCTGAGCTGCAGGTCTGTTGGAGTTTGCTAGAGGTCCACTCCAGACCCTGTTTGCCTGGGTATCACCAGCAGAGGCTGCAGAACAGCAGATATTGCAGAACAGCAAATATTACTGCCTGATCCTTCTTCTGGAAGCTTCGTCTCAGAGGGGCACCTGGCTGTATGAGGTGTTAGTCGGCCCCTACTGGGAGGTGTCTCCCAGTTAGGCTACACAGGGGTCAGGGACCCACTTGAGGAGGCAGTCTGTCCCTTCTTAGGACTCAAACTCCGTGCTGGGAGAACCACTGCTCTCTTCAGAGCTGTCAGACAGGGACGTTTAAGTCTGCAGAAGTTTCTGCTGCCTTTTGTTCAGCTATGCCCTGCCCCCCAGAGGTGGAGTCTACAAAGGCAGGCAGGCCTCCTTGAGCTGTGGTGGACTCCACCCAATAAGAGCTTCTGGGCCACTTTGTTTGCCTACTCAAGCCTCAGCAATGGAGGACCCCCTCCCCCAGCCAGGCTGCCACCTCGCTGTTCGATCTCGGACTGCTGCTCTAGCAGTGAGCAAGGCTCCGTGGGCGTAGGACCCTCTGAGCCAGGCTCTGGGTATAATCTCCTGGTGTGCCATTTGCTAAGACCATTGGAAAAGTGCAGTATTAGGGCAGGAGTGTCCCGATTTTCCAGGTACACTCTGTCACAGTTTCCCTTGGCTGGGAAAGGGAAATCCCCTGAACCTTGCACTTCCCAGGTGAGGCGATGCTCCGCCCTGCTTCAGCTCACCCTCCATGGGCTGTACCCACTGTCCAACCAGTCCCAGTGAGATGAACCAGTTACCTTAGTTGGAAATGCAGAAATCACCTATCTTCTGTGGCAATCACGCTGGGAGCTGCAGACCAGAGCTGTTCCTATTTGGCCATCTTGTTTTCACTCTATTTTATTCTCTTCTAACAGGGGATTTCTTTTTTGTTTTTTGTTTTTTTTTCCGAGATGCAGTCTCACTCTGTCCCTCAGGCTGGAGTGCAGTGGCACAATCTCGGCTCCCAGGTTCAAGTGATTCTTCTGCCTCAGCTTCCTGAGTAGTTGGGACTACAGGTGGGTACCACCATACCTACCTAATTTTTGTATTTTTAGTAGAAATGGGGTTTCACCATGTTGGCCAGGCTGGTCCCAAACTCCTGACCTCGTGATGCACACACCTCGGTCTCCGAAAGTGCTGGGATTTCAGGTGTGAGCCACTGCGCCCCACAGTAATGTTTCCATTTCAATTCTGATTTTAGTGACTTGAATCATCTCTCCCTTATCTTGGTCAATCTAGTTTAGGGTTTGACAATTTTGTTTACCTTTTTAAGAAATAAATATTTTATTTTATTTATTTATTTATTGTTTTTCTATTTCATTAGTTTCCACTCTAATCTTTATTTCTTTCCTTCCTGTTGCGTTAGCTTTAGTTTGCTCGTCTTTTTTCAGTGTCTTACAATGTAAGGGCTATTGATTTAAGATCTTTTGTCTTTCCTAACATAAACATTCCCAGCTATAAATTTACTTCTTAGCACTGTTTTAGCTGTATCCAGTACATTTTGATATGTTGTGCTGTTGTGTACTTTTTTTTTTTTTTGAGACCTAGTCTCACCCTGTCACCCAGGCTGGAGTGCAGTGGCACATTCTCAGCTCACTGCAACCTCACCTTCCCAGGTTCAAACGATTCTCATGCCTCAGCCTCCCCAGTAGCTGGGATTACAGACATGTGCCACCACACCCAGCTAATTTTTTATATTTTCTTGTAGAGACATGGTTTTGTGACTAGGCTGGCCTCCAACTCCTAGCGTCAAGTGATTCGCCCGCCTTGGCCTCTCAAAGTGCTGGGATTACAGGCATGAGCCACCGCGCCTGACTGAACTCATTTTTATTTATCTGAACGTATTTAAATTGTTTTAAATAAAAGTAAAACACATAACATTAAATTTATCATCCTAACCATTTTTAAGTATACAGTTTAGTAGTATTAAGTATATTCACATTGTTATGCAACAGATCTCTGGAACACTTTCATCTTTCAACACTGAAACTCTATGCCCAACAAACGCTAATTCTCCTCTCCCTTCCAGCCAGTCCTTGGCAACCACCTTTCTACCTTCTGTTTCTATAATTGTGTCTACTTTAGATACTTCTTATTAGTGGAATCATACAGTGTCTGTTCTTTTGTGACTGGCTTACTTCACTTGCCATAATGTCCTCAAGATTTATCATTGTAGTATGTGATAGGATTTCCTTTTTTAAGGCTACATAATATTCTGTTGTATGTATATACCACATTTGGTATATCCATTCATCTGTCAATTGACATTTGTTTTGCTTTTACCTCTTGGCTAGTGTGAATAATGCTACAGTTATCTCTTTAGGATCCTACTTTGAATGCTTTTGAATTCTTTTGAAACCCCTGCAGAAGTAGGTTTGCTGGATTATATGGGAATCATAATTTTAATTTTGTGAAGAAACCCTGTGTTGGGAAAACTCTCACCAACCATTTTCCTCTAGTCTTACACCACAATAATCATCAACATAGAAGACTACTGTGGCCAAATGTGTGAAGGTTTTTCCCCACACATCAAGCAGCAGACACCAGCTAGGTGTCCTCCAATTCAGTTCTGACACTGTCTACCTGAAGGTAATGTCAGTTCCTGCAGGTTGGGGGCTCAGTCCACAAGACTTCCCCCTATAGCCTCAGATACCAGTTGCAAGTCTGGGTCTCTGGGACTTCTTGACTGACTGGTTTCAATTTGGGGTTCCTACAACCTCCTCTTTGGGTTAAGTTAATTTGCTGGAGTGGCTCACAGAACTCAGGGAAACATTTACATTCACCAGTTTATTATAAAGGACACAGATGAATAGACTGGCAGGGCAAGGTATGGTGGAAGGGGTATGGAGCTTCCATGCCCTCCCTGGGCATGCCACCCTCCAGCAACCTTCACGGGTTCAGCTATCTGGAGGTCTTTGAACCCAGTCTTCTTGGGTTTGTATGGAAGCATTCCTTCCTCCAGGGTATGAGACTGGACCCTCCCAGGGGAGGGTCTTAAGACCCATAATGAAAAAGATGGGGTAATATTAGAGTTCTGCCTTGGGGCAGGTGAAAGGAAGGCAGGAGGTAGATTCTGTTCCTTGAGGCCTGCCCCTGAGGCCTAACACACACAACATTATAACAAAAGACTGTAACAAGGGAGATGGAAGTTATGAACCAGTAACTGTGGATGAAAACCTATAACTTATATATATACATGTATATATATATGTATATAGACCACGAACTCCACACTGTTTTTCATAATGGCTGCACCATTTTACATTCCCGCCAACAGTGCACACATTTCCAATTTCTGCATATCCTCTCCAACACTTGTTATTTTCTATTCTTTTCATAGGGCCATCCTAACAGATGTGAGATTATATTTCATTATGATTTTGATTTGTATTTCTCTAATGATTAGTAATGTTGAACATTTTTTCATATGCTTATTGGCTATTTGTATATCTTTTTTCAAGAAATGTTTATTAAAGTCTGTTGCCCATTTTAAAATCAGGTTATTTGTTTTTTGTTGTTGTTGAGTTGTACAAGTTCCTTATATACGCTGGATATTAACCCTTTATCAGTTGCAAACATTTTCCTCCTGTTCCATAGGTTGTGTTTTCACTTTTTTGATTGTTTCCTTTGATGTGCGGAAATTTTTAAGTTTGGTGTGGTCCCATTTGTCTATTTTTGCTTTTGTTGTCTGTGTTCTTGGTGGCTTGTCCAAGAAATCACTGTCAAATCCAATGTCCTGAAGCTTTTCCTCCATGTTTTCTTCGAGGAGTTGTATAGTTTTTGGTCTTATGTTTAGGTCTTTAACCCATTTTGAATTTTTTTTGTATATGTATAAAGATAAGGTCCAATTCATTATTTTGCATGTAGATAACCACTTTTTCCAATACTGTTTACTGAAGGCTCTGTCCTTTCTCCATTGTGTAGTCTTGGCATCATTGTCAAAATTATTCATCCATATATGCAAGGATTTATTTCTGGGCTCTCTGTTCCATTAGTCTGTATACCTGTCTTTATGTCAGTAATACAACCATCTTTTTTGTTTGAGACAGAGTCTTGCTCTGTCACCTGTCACCCAGGCTAGGGTGCATTGGCATGATCTCAGCTCACTGCAACCTCTGCCTGCCGGGTTCAAGCAATTCTCCTGCCTCAGCCTCCCAAGTAGCTGGGACTATAGGCACGTGCCACCATGCCCAGCTAATCTTTTGTATTTTTAGTAGAGACGGGGTTTTACCATGCTGGCCAGGCTGGCCTTGAACTCCTGACCTCGTCATCCACCCACCTTGGTCTCCCAAAGTGCTGGGATTACAGGCATGAGCCACTGCGCCTGGCCCCTACAACCATCTTCATTAGCGTTGCTTTCTAGTATGGTTCAAAATCAGGAAGAATGAGTTCTACAGCTTTGTTCTTTTTCAAGATTGTTTTGGCTGTTCAGGTTCCCTGGAGATTCCATATGAGTCTTAGGATGATTTTTTTCTATATTTTCCTATTTCTGCAAAATTGCCATTGAGTTTTTGATAAGAATGCCATTGAATCTGTAGATCACGTTGGATAATATGTACTTATTCACAGTATTAAAGTCTTCCACTCCACAAGCACAGGATGCCTTTCCATTTATTTGTATCTTGTCTGATTTCTTTTAGCAATGTTTTGTAGTTTTTCCCGCACAAGTCTTTTACCTCCTTGGTTCAGTTTATGCCTAAATATTTTATTCTTTTTGGTGCTATAGTAAATGGGATTGTTTTCTTAATTTTCTTTTCAGGTTGGTCATTGCTAGTTTGTAGAAATGCAACTGATTTTTGTGTGTTCATTTTATACCCTGCTACTTTTCTAAAGTTGTTTATTAGTTGTAACAGGTTTTTTTGTGTGTGTGTGGGAAGGTCTTCAGGGTTTCCACATATAAGATCATGTCATCTGTAAACAGATAATTTTAGTTTTCTTTTCCAGTTTGGATGACTTTTGTTTCTTTCTTTCGTTCTTTCCTTCCTTTTCTTTTCTTTCAAGACGGGGTCTGGCTTTGTCCCCATGCTGGAGTACAATGGTGTGATCTCGGCTCATTGCAACCTCCACCTCCCGGGTTCAAGTGAACCCTGCCTCAGCCTCCCAAGTAGCTGGGATTACAGGTGCATGCCATCATGCCCGGCTAGTTTTTGTAGATTTTTATGGTTATGGGGTTTCACCATGTTGCCTAGGCTGGTCTTGAACACCTGGGCTCAAGCAGTGCACCCTCTCGGCCTCCCAAAGTGCTGGGATTACAGGCTGTAGCCAGCGCACTGGGGCTTTTTTTCTTGTCTAATTGCTCTGAGTAGGACTTCTAGTGCTATGTTGAACAGTAGTGGTGAGAGTAAGCATCCTTGCCTTGTTCTAGATCTTAGAGGAAAAGCTAAGGCCACTGAATATATTACCTGTGGGCTTTTCATGTATGGCTTTTATTAAGTTGAGGTAGTTTCATTCTATTCCTAGTTTGCTGAGTACTTTTTTCTTTTTTCTTTTCTTTTTTCTTTTTTTGAGTCGGAGTTTTGCTCCCTTGACCAGGCTGCAGTGCAGTGGCGCCATCTCTGCTCACTGCAAAGTCTGCCTCCCGGGTTCACGCCATTCTCCTGCCTCAGTCTCCCGAGTAGCTGGGACTACAGGCGTCTGCCACCATGCCCGGCTAATTTTTTTCATTTTTTTTAGTAGAGACGGGGTTTCACCGTGTTAGCCACGATGGTCTCGATCTCCTGAACTCGTGATCCGCCCGCCTCGGCCTCCCAAAGTGCTGGGATTACAGGCGTGAGCCATCGCGCCTGGCCGCTGAGTGCTTTTTTCATAAAAGTGTGTTGAATTTTGTTGAATCCTTTCTGTATCTCAATTGAGATGATATTTGATTATTGCCATTCATTTTATTAACATGGAGTATTATATAACCCTGGATATTTCACTCCCAAGAGTGCTAATCCTCTGACATTAGTCTTCGTGGTGATGCAGTTTTTGGTATGCCCCCAGTCACCCTGGGATGACAGTGGTGCTGGCAATGTTCTTTTTCACTCTTTTTCTGACCACACCCTACTGTTGTGTTTCAGTTATTGCTGACCAGTTGTTGTATTGTTTTCAACAATGCCTTGAGGTATAAATTCCTCTATGAACAAATCCAATCAAAATGTAGCTCCTTAAATGGAATAGTTTCTGATGTAAGTATTTGATATTTGTCCTGACTCCAAAAGGGTTCCTCCTACCTGTCTTATTTCCTGATTCTCTCCTGCATACTAGCCAGACTGCAGTTTAAGATCTATCTTTCTTAGATTCACAAATTTCCTCCCAATTACCTTTCATCAAAATCTCCACCATTCTTGAGAATGCCCTTAGCTTTCCACTTCTCTATTCTATGTTACAAATTAAATCAGTTATTTTGGGAAAGGATTGGAAGCTATCTACTTTTTGGCTCATTTATTTCTTCTTCTTCTTTTTTTTTTTTTTTTTTTTGAGATGGAGTCTTGCTCTGTCGCCCAGGCTGGAGTGCAGTGGTACAATCTCAGCTCACTGCAACCTCCACCTCCTGGGTTCAAGCGATTCTCCTTCCTCAGCCTCCATAGTAGCTGGAATTATAGGCACACACCACCAGGCCCAGCTATTTTTTTTGTATTTTTAGTAGAGATGGGTTTTCGCCATGTTGGCCAGGCTGGTCTCAAACTCCTGACCTCAGGTGATCTGCCCGCCTTGGCCTCCCAAAGTGCTGGGATTACAGACATGAGCCACCATGCCCGGCTGGCTCATTTCTTTCTATAGGAAAAATCTCTGAGCTAGGACTCTGGAGCTAGAGGTGGTAACAATTGCATGTTTCTCTTTGTGGAAGAAAAGTTCTAGATGCTGAACACTCAGTGGATGAAGTGCAGTAGTCTGAAATCCTCTTGGCTTGTATTTCCTGTTTTGAAGCCACTGCCTCACAAGCCGCAGTAAGAGCTATTAGCACCTTAGTATTCTCTGTGTGCCATGCTCAAGGTAGAGTATTAACTATGTAGGGGTGGCGGAAAAGCTTCCTCTCTGCCCACTGAAATTTGCTGAAAATGAAGTGACAAAGGCAGATTAATAAAAGAAAAAGACATACAAAATTTATTTAACATACATAAGCATGGGGTAATTGTAGGAGAGTGATTACCCAGTGTCCCAGTGAAGTTCAAATACATATATGCCCTTCTTCATAGGGGAAGGAGAGATTGAAGCTGATCATTTAGTATTCCTTTTTACAGTGACATTATATTGATGTACCATAGTTTTCTCAAATTGACCCTTTTGTCAGACATTTGGATTGTTTCCTTTTTTTTGTTTTTTTTTTTTTGAGATGGAGTCTCGCTCTGTCTCCCAGGCTAGAGTGCAGTGGCATGATCTTGGCCCCAGCCTCCCTAGTAGCTGGGGCTACAGGCACGTGCCGCCACACCCAGCTAATTTTTTGTATTTTAATAGAGACGGGGTTTCATCATGTTAGCCAGGATGGTCTCAATCTCCTGACCTGGTGATCCACCTGCCTCAGCCTCCCAAAGTGCTGGGATTACAGGCATGAGCCACCGCACCCGGCCTGGATTGTTTCCTTCTTTTGCTTTACAAATAGAGTTGTGATGAATAGTCATGCATCTGTTTTCCTTTTTATTTATTTAGTATTTATTATTATTATTATTATTTGAGATGGAGTTTTGCTCTCTCACCCAGGCTGGAGTGCTGTGGTGACATCTTGGCTCACTGCAACCTCTGCCTCCTGGGATTCAAGCAATTCTCCTGCCTCAGCCTCTTGAGGAGCTGCAATTACAAGTGCCCGCCACTACACCTGACTACTTTTTGTATTTTTAGTAGAGGCAGGGTTTCACTGTGTTGACCAGGCTGGTCTCAAACTTTTGGCCTCAAGTGATTTGCCGGCCTTGGCCTTCCAAAGTGTTGAGATTACAGGCGTAAGCCACTGTGCCTGGCCCTTTTTATTTTGATAGTATATATTAGGGATAGCTTTTTAGAAGTGGAATTTGTGGGTTAAAGGGTAAATAATTATACATTTTTTCTAGATACTGCAAATTTTCTGCCCTTGGAATTATACCATTTTCCATTCCCACCAGTACTCTATGAAAAGACTAATTTCTCGGCAACCTTGACAACAAAGTATGCTATCCAATCTAATTTAGTATGTCTTTCACTTATTATGAGTAAAGTCAGGGTATTTGGGGTATCCATCACTTTGAGTATTTATCATTTCTATGTGTTGGTTTCAGGTTATCTCTTATAGCTACTTTGAAATATACAATACATTGTTGCTAACTATAGTCACCCTACTCTACTATCAACATTAGAGGCTGGCTGTGGTGGCAGGCACCTGTAATCCCAGCTGCTCAGGAGACTGAGGCAGGAGAATCACTTGAACCTGGGAGGTGGAGGTTGCAGTGAGCTGGGATGGTGCCACTGCACTCCAGCCTGGGCAAGACAGCCAGACTCCAACTCAAAAAAAAAAAAAAAAAAAAGAACCTATACCTTCTATCTAATTATATGTTTGTACACATTGACCAACCTGCCTTTGTACGCAGCTCCAATGCACACACCCTTCCCTGACCCTGGTATCTATGATTCTACTCTCTACCTCCATGAGATCAACTTTTTAAACTCCCACATATGACTGAAAAGATGTGAAATTTGTCTTTCTGTTTCTCGCTTACTTTATTTAACATAATGACCTCCAGTTCCAATTACAATGGATTATATTAATATCTTTCCTAATAATGAGTGATCTTTACACTCCTGGAATAAACCCTACTTGGACATCCTGTATTACTGTTTTAAATGTGCTATTGTATTCTGTTTGCTATAAATTTTATTTAAGATTTAGGCATTACATTTCATATATTTCATATGTGAAATTGACCTGTAGTTTTCATTTTTAGTGCAAACTGAAATGTTATACTAACTTTATAAAGTGCTAGTGTCTATGCTTCGAATAATTTAAGTAGCATCATGATTTTTTGATATTTGACAGTTTGGTAGGATTTCTTTATGAAAGTATTTGAGCTTGGTGCCCTTTTTATTGAGTATGCCTGTTAAACTATTTTTCTTAACTGGTCTGTTTAGACTTTCTGTCTCTACAAGGGTTAGTTTGAGTATGCTACATTTGTCTAAAAAATCCACTAAGTTTGCCAGTTATTTGCTAGTTGTGTTATGTTATCTCTGATGATTTCAAAAAAGGTCTTCTGTGTTGATGATTATTTCCTCCAGTTCTAATTTTGTGTATTTGCACTAATTTTCTCTTTGTTGGCTAGAGGTTTGTCTATTTTGTTGACTTTCAAATATCCACCTTTTTTGTATCTTTATTAGTTATACTTTGTTTCTAACTCATTCTCTGAATTTGTCCTTACAACCCTTCCTTCCTCATTCTTTTGGTTTATTTTGTTGTTCATTTAGTAGCATCTTGAGCTGTGTTTGATTCATTTGTTATTTTTTGTTATCGATATAGGTATGTGAGGAAATAAATTTCCTTCTGATAAATGCTTTAGCTCTATCTCACAGATTCTATGTCACATTTGCACTTTTGTCCCTTTCAAGAAATTATGTAATTAAAATTTGTATTTCCTTCTTGACTCGAGTTGTATTATAGCATGCTTTAAAATTTTCAGGTGGAAGTGACTTTTATTTTTTATTTTATCAATTTCTAGTTTTATTGCATGATGGTCAGAGAATGATGTTTGTGTTATTTCTATACTTTGGAACTTACTGAGGTTTTCTTCTGTGGTCCGTTTTCATGAATGTTTCACAGGTACTACAAAAGAATGTGGTGCGGAGAGAGAGGTATACCGGACCCGAACTCTCTCGCCACACTCTTCCTCGTTCCTTGATTATTTCCGGTAATGCTCCTGAATCCACATTTTTATGAAAAAAAAAAACCACTTTATTCTTCTTGTATGCGACCCTCTGCAAACTGTTTTTTTTAAATAAAGTATTCAAGTATGATTGACGTCCCTTTAATCTCAGATGGGCTGATAATAGGATTGGATAATTCTGTTATTCACCACATCCCCTTATCTTGTCTTTCTGCCCATTTAAGCTACTCTCCCAGTGTTGGCTGAGACCCTGTGGGTTCCTTGGGCTGGGAGGCAGAAGCCCGGAGCTCAGAGGATGAGGTTGGTGAGCCAGACCCGGCACACGGAGGGCTTGATGAATCGTTCATGCGCGTGTTGAGTGTATACCGCCCTCGTATCGTTTTCTGCCAATCGGGACCGGACCGGGAGCGGATTCTGCCCGAAAGGGGGCGCGATCTGGCGGGTGCTCCTCTTCCTCGCTCCCCAGTCCGCGCCTCGCTGGGCTCAGCACCCCGGCCCCCGGCGGGACGGAGGCTCGGGTCCAAAGCAGTGGCTGCACCGACACGAACCCGTCTGCGTTTCTCCACCTGTCTTCCCTCGCCACCTGCATCTACTATGGTCTCTAAATGCCTCGCTTTGTACTTTGTGGCTTTCTGGCAGCCCTTTAAAGCAGCGGTGAAAGAAAGGAGAGAGTCAAGACACGGGAGAAAATGTTTCATCCCGGGTTCTTCTAGTGGTGCCCGGTAAGTGACTCCGGACTGACGAGCAGAAAAATCCCAGGGCCATCAATAGAGGGCCTTCGGTGTAGAATGCGGTTTGCTCAGCTGTCAGCAAAGAGGGACGCAAAACCTAAATTTGAGATATCAGAAATAACTAAATAAAATAGACCTTGGCTGATTACAACTAATGGTTCTGAAACCTAGCAAAAGGGTCAGATTCTGATCTTGAATATACTCTCGAGAGAACCGTTTCAGTACGGGGGTGTAGCTCAGTGGTAGAGCGCGTGCTTAGCATGCACGAGGCCCCGGGTTCAATCCCCGGCACCTCCATTCCTTTTGCTTTTAATTTTTTTCCCATTGCTTTACTTTATTTTCCTTGCTTAAACAGAAAGTAACCCTATTTCACAACGGTTTTGCCATTAATATTAGTGCTGTTCCATTTCTACTCCTCAGCCTTGACACGACTCGGGGGACTGCCTAAGCAAAAGGTGGAAAAGATGGAGCTGGAAGACAAAGACGGCTCCGGATTCCAAAACTTCAATGGCGTCGCCAAATTGACGAGCTCATTAACCTTTGGAGTATTGTTATTTAAAAAGTAGGAAATAAAAGATAAATGTGGAAATATTTAATAAAAGAAAAACGTAAGCTCTCAATTTTCTTTATTACTTTTTTTTTTTTGAGACGGAGTCTCTCGCTCTGTCGCCCAGTGGCACGATCTTGGCTCACTGCAAGCTCCGCCTCCCGGGTTTACGCCATTCTTCTGCCTCAGCCTCCCGAGTAGCCGGGACTACAGGCGCCCGTCACCACGCCCGGCTAATTTTTTCTATTTTTTTGGTAGAGACAGGGTTTCACCGTGTTAGCCAGGATGGTCGCGATCTCCTGACCTCGTGATCCTCCCGCCTCGGCCTCCCACAGTGCTGGGATTACAGGAGTAAGCCACCACCGCTCCCAGCCGATTTCCTTTATTTTTTTTCTGGTCCTTGTTTAGCCATGATCCATCGCAGGCTGAGCCCTGACAAACGCAAAGCCTTCCAAACTGGGAAATTGAGAAAGTTATTTTCATCAATGAATGTAGAGGCGTCACACTTCTGCCGAAATAGCTCCACTGGGAAGCATGCTCTGCTGAAGATCTCAAAGTTCACGGACTGATTTCCAGTTTTATTCTGTCTTCACTCCTGCCGGATAATTTGACTTCCCTTAGATGACGTTACAGAAGTAATTTTACCTAAGACAGGTGCGCCCTCTATCGTAAGGATATCTTTCAGACTCTTGGTCCACACAAGAGTTGGTGGCACCGGAGAGCTTGTTAGAAGAGCGAAATCTCAGCTTCACCTCAGACGTACTGAACCAGAAGTAGCAATTTAACAAGATCCACAAGAGATTCTTTTGCACATTTAAGAAGCAATATGACGTGCTTTGACGTGGATGGAGTAAGGGTGTATAGTATAAATACGCGGCTGTGTTTTTTCCCCCAATTTTCTATTCTAACAGAAAACATAATTGCAAAAAATATATATTTCTATTGCTGAATCATTTTTGTGTTCTAATCATTGACTCTGTTCCTTGCCTCTCTGGCAATATTGTACTTAGTAATATTTTTTGAATCACTATTCATGATTGAATATGATGTGAAGTTTTCATTTTCTTTTTTTTTTTTCTTGAGACGGAGTCTCACTCTGTCGTCCAGGTTGGAGTGCAGTGGCGCGATCTCGACTCACTGCAACCTCCGCCTCCCGGGTTCAAGCGATTCTCCTGCCTCAGCATCCCGAGTAACTGGGACAACAAGCGCGCGCCACCGCGCCCGGCTAATTTTTTATATTTTTTTTAGGGACGGGGTTTCACCA
The DNA here is from genome assembly GCF_000001405.40 of Homo sapiens. Taxonomy (NCBI): domain Eukaryota; kingdom Metazoa; phylum Chordata; class Mammalia; order Primates; family Hominidae; genus Homo; species Homo sapiens. The sequence goes on along the minus strand of NT_167246.2, from coordinate 102,491 downwards.
TATTGGCCAGGCTGGTCTCGAACTCCTGACCTCATGATCCGCCCGCCTCGCAAAGTGCTGGGATTACAGGCATGAGCCACCACTCCCGGCCTTTATTTTCTTTTTCGCAAGTTTTGCAATAAAGGCTGTGCTAACTTCTAATGTAAACTGGGAAGTTTGTATCCTTGCTCTGAAACATTTTAAATAGAATAAGACCTTGTAATCATTCCAGAATACACAGCCCTCTTCTCATCAGCTACCACCAAATCTTCAAGAACTTTTGTATTAACACCACTTTGTATTCTAAGCCCTGTGATAGATTTTAAAGATCCAAAACCCTTTGCTAACCCTAATGAAAGTGTGAGCTGAAGGATATCTCAAGAATTGGGAAATCCTTGGTTTCCGATATAATATCAGGCCACCTCTGTCCCTGTGAAGTGATTAGGAAATTTTCAATGGAGAAAATAAGTTCCAAAAGTCATTCTTTCTCAGATTAAGATGTCTTGGGTTTCAGTTTACTTCTTTAAAGAAAGATTCAGAGTTAGTACTGAGGACCCAGACTTTCTTGATGTGGGAAATAGATAATTTTCTGTTCTGTTGACATTTTTTCTCTCTCTTCTCTCATTTTCAAAGTACAGTTCCACAATGTCTCTTTGCCACTTATACTCACTGTGGCAGAAAAAAATTATTCACAGGCTTCAATCATGGGAATCAATTTGCAAAGGAATATAGTAAAAGCATGAGGAAAATTATCATGAATTATTACCATTGCTTTATGCTAGGGCTCAGGCCCAAATGGAAATATTTTTTTCTGCTCCCCACAATAGACTTCTTTAAGGAAGTCCACCTCTGTAATTTAGGGTAGAAATGGATAGGATGCAAAAACCAAGAGTTTAATATAAGAAAGCTATAGAAAATATAGGATGGAGATTTCAAAAACATCTTGGGACAATGAAAACAAATGACATATGACAGATAGAAGTACTTCTTTGAGAGCAAACAGTGCCTATCTTTGGCCTAGGACAATAGTGAATCATTTTAAGGTACATTGTAGATGAATTTTGGAAATTCAACTATATTTTATTTTGGGGTTGTATACTTCAATGAGATCATATTTTAAAAAAATTTTTCTCCACAGAGAAATTAAGGACCTCTTTCAAAAATCAGCTGGGCATGGTGGCGACCACCTGTAATCACTGCTACTTGGGAGGCTGAGGCAGGAGAATTGCTTGAACCTCGGAGGCGGAGGTTGCAGTGAGCCAAGATCATGCCACTGCACTCCAGCCTGGGTGACACAATGAGACTCCATCTCAAAAAAAAAAAAAAAAAATTAAGGACTTCTGAGAGGAATGAGGACGTGGCCATGCGTGAGACCCTGGGTGAATGTGTGGGAAGCGGCAGGTGGGCAGGACCATTGGCTGCACAGTGATATGGAAGCAGACACAATCCATCAGGCCATGTAGTCAATCTGACTCAAAAGGTAGAGTTTTATTCTTTTCAAAGACATATTTAATTGAAGAAAAAAGATTATTTAACCCTTTACTGTCTAGTTCAGGAATTCTTTTTTAATATTCAATCAAGGTGGGAGACTTACAACAGTGTAATCAAACCTCCCTCTCCCTGTCAACAAATCAAGATGTAAATCCCAAAGAATATAGAGTGAATTCAATTTCTAGATTATCATATAAGAGCTCCTTACATGAAAACTATTACTCCACCTTTTTGTCAACTTTAAGAAAACAGTACTCAACCAGTTACAATCTTCTCTCTGGTTGTAGATTGTCTAGAGATGTCATTCGCATGTCTGCAGGCTCCCTGAGCAGAGTAATTGAGTATGAATGAGTTCTATCTCCTGAGATAAATGGTTGGTTCATCAGAAAAATCTCATATATTTGGAACTCATCCTATGTCTCCCCATGCATAGATATTTCTGAATGCTTACAGAAACTTAAACAATTCTCACAGTGTTCTCTGTACTTTGGGGCAAACAGAAAAAAAAAAAAAAAGAAACACCTCCTTGTGGGGAACTTCTGGTAATCTAACTGGTATCTTGGTTTCTTCAGGTGCAAGTTAGAGAATAATTACATGATGACTCTGGAAACAACTTTCACACCATCAAACAGTCTAGATAATTTTCTTTCTTTCTTTCTTTCTTTCTTTTTTTTTTTTTTTTTGAGACAGAGTCTTGCTCTGTCGCCCAGGCTGGAGTGCAGTAGCGCGATCTCGGCTCACTGCAAGCACCGCCTCCTGGGTTCACGCCATTCTCCTGCCTCAGCCTCCCGAGTAGCTGGGACTACAGGCGCCCTCCACTACACCTGGCTAATTTTTTGTTTTTTGTTTTTTTTTTTAAGTAGAGACGGGGTTTCACCGTGTTAGCCAGGATGGTCTCGGTCTCCTGACCTCGTGATCCGCCCGCCTCGGCCTCCCAAAGTGTTGGGATTACAGCCATGAGCCACCGCGCCCGGCCAAAACAGCCTAGATAATTTTTCTCACATCCTCCCAGCACTTTCACGCGCGCGCGCGCGCACAAACACACACACACCAGAGCTTGTAGAGTTTTGTGGGTGACACTTAAATACCCAATTTCAGTGAAACCTGCCATTATGTTTCCTCTTACCTATTCCGCTATCCCTATGAGCCAACAGAGAGAAATTCTGCCAAACCATAAGGTGTTCCCAACCTCGAAAGGGGCTCAGCAATATGCTTACCAATATAGGTAAAGTCATACATAAGGAGAATGAGAATGAAGATGAATGAGAAAAGATAACACCTACTGGGAAACTAGCCAGGAAATGAGACTTTCTGGGTCTTTTGTGAAAGTTTCAAGGCCATGGTGACAACCAGTGTGAATTCCAGGGTTGAAGATCAGCTAGGAAGAAGTTCATTTTTTTGCTTTTCACAACTATCAGTAAGTAAGTTTCTGATCTTCATATCTCAAAGGACACTTTGAGTTCTCATTGTACTCACACTGTATTGGTGCCTTCTACTCACTCCCACCTCCACGTATTCAGATCAGAGCACTGGGCTAAGTTCACTGTGTTTCACCAATGGGCAGGATCCTACGGAAGAATATGGTAAGTTCAACACGTTCCCAAACAAACTCACCTCCTCCTCCTAATATCTTGTCCATTCCTTCAAAGAACAATAAGCATCTCTATTCTGCTTTTTTTCCTCCTGTTTGTTGAGGCTCTCTTTTATGGATTCCCCACTTTCTGGCTTGCTCTATAAATCCAATAAGTCTTTGAATCCTGTGTCTAGCTACCTATGAATGTGCTTTCAAAATTTCAAAGTTTTTCTCCATCCTTGAATCTGCTATTTATTTCATGTCTTGAACATTATTCTGGGCTACTCCATGAACCTCCTCAGTTGCCTTCATGCTGTAGTACAATCAAGAACCCCTTGGCAATGAATAACAGGTTGCATGTGGTTTTCATTCTCACCTGGGGTTTTCTCATCAAAGTTTTGCTCTTACCATTCCTGTGAAGCAAACAGCAATAGCAGAAGTGCTTTATTCAGGAAAAAGCTGGTCAGTTTTCTAACGCAAGTTTCCAGTATTCTGCGTTCCATTTCAAGCTTTATTTGCCAAAACTTCAATATCCCCCACAGCTGGGGGTCTTCCAACTTAAAATGGTCACAAATCCTGCTTCTAAACCCAACACTTAGTGCTAAAACAATGAACACAGGAATGGAGACCCACAGAATATAACGAGATATTCCTTTATTTTTCATTTTATTTAATTTTTTACATCTTTAGATTGGAGAAATACCTTTTTAGGGTTTTTGGGTTTTTGTTTGTTTGTTTTTTGAGACAGAGTCTCACTCTGTCCCCAAGGCTGGAGTGCAGTGGCGCCATCTCCGCTCACTGCAGCCTCCACCTCCCAGGTTCAAGAGATTCTCCTGCCTCAACCTCTGAGCAGCTGGGGTTACAGGCACGTGCCATCACGCCCGGCTAATTTTTGTATTTTTAGTAGAGACAGGGTTTCACCTTGTTGGCTCGGCTGGCCTCGAACTTCTGACCTTAAATGATCTGACCGCCTCCAACTTCCAAACTGCTGCGATTACAAGCGTGAGCTACCGTGCCCGGCCACCTTTTTAATTTTTAAGTTATTTTTTATTTCCATATTTTTATTGTTTTCATATACTGCAATAGTACTTGGAGGACGACACAAATATCTCTTGGCATGAGGAGATGTAGTTCAGTGATAGAACGTGTGCCTTACATATAGGAGGCCTCAGGTTCAGCTCCCGAGAACCTTCAACGGTCAGTTTCCGAGTTCTTAATACCACTCCTTAGTACAAAGCACATTCAGGTGTCCTACTCTCTTTTCGTTGCCTGTCACATGAGAAGTAAACACGTGACCCCAAGACGTTAATTTCTGTTTTTTTTTTTTTTTTTTAGAGATGGAGTCTCACTCAGTCGCCCAGGCTGGAGTGCAGTGGCGTGATCTCGGCTCACTGCAAGCTCCGCCTCCTGGGTTCACACCATTCTCCAGCCTCAGCCTCCTGAGTAGCTGGGACTACAGGCGCCTGCCACTATGCCTGGCTAATTTTTTTTTTTTTTTTTGTATTTTTAGTAGAGACCGGGTTTCACCGTGTTAGCCAGGATGGTCTCGATCTCCTGACCTCGTGATCCGCCTGTCTTGACCTCCCAAAGTGCTGGGATTACAGGCTTGAGCCACCGCGCCCGGCCTCTTTTTTTTTTAAGATTTTTTTTTTTAATCATTATACTTTAAGTTCTAGGGTACCTGTGCACAACGTGCAGGTTTGTTACATATGTATACATGTGCCATGTTGGTGTGCTGCACCCATTAACTCCTCATTTACATTAGGTATTTCTCCTAATGCTATCCCTCCCCTATCACCCCACCCCGCGACAGGCCCCGGTGTGTGATGTTCCCCACCCTGTGTCCAAATGTTCTCATTGTTCAATTCCCACCTATGAGTGAGAACGTGCAGTGTTTGGTTTTCTGTCCTTGTGATAGTTTGTTCAGAATGATGGTTCCCAGCTTCATCCATGTCCCTACAAAGGACATGAACTCATCCTTTTTTATGGCTGCATAGTATTCCATGGTGTATATGTGCCACGTTTGTTAAATTCAGTCTATCATTGATGGACATGTGCCTTACATATAGAAGGCACATTTGGGTTGGTTCCAAGTCTTTGCTATTGTGAATAGTGCCACAATAAACATACGTGTGCATGTGTCTTTATAGCAGCATGATTTATAATCCTTTGGGTATATACCCAGTAATGGGATGGCTGGGTCAAATGGTATTTCTAGTTCTAGATCCTTGAGGAATCGCCACACTGTCTTCCACAATGGTTGAACTAGTTTACAGTCCCACCAACAGTGTAAAAGTGTTCCTATTTCTCCACATCCTCTCCAGCACCTGTTGTTTCCTGACTTTTTAATGATTGCCATCCTAACTGGTGTGAGATGGAATCTCATTGTGGTTTTGATTTGCATTTCTCTGATGGCCAGTGATGATGAGCATTTTTTCATGTGTCCATTGGCTGCATAAATGTCTTCTTTTGAGAAGTATCTGTTCATATCCTTTGCCCACTTTTTGTTGGGGTTTGATGGGGTTGTTTGATTTTTTCTTGTAAATTTGTTTAAGTTCTTTGTAGATTCTAGATATTAGCCCTTTGTCAGATGGGTAGGTTGCAAAAATTTTCTCCCATTCTGTAGGTTGCCTGTTCGCTCTGATGGTGGTTTCTTTTGCTGTGCAGAAGCTCTTTGGTTTAATTAGATCCCATTTGTCTATTTTGGCTTTTGTTGCCATTGCTTTTGGTGTTTTAGACATGAAGTCCTTGCCCATGCCTATGTCCTGAATGGTATTGCCTAGGTTTTGTTCTAGGGTTTTTATGGTTTTAGGTCTAACATTTAAGTCTTTCATCCATCTTGAATTAATTTTTGTATAAGGTGTAAGGAAGGGATCCAGTTTCAGCTTTCTACATATGGCTAGCCAGTTTTCTCAGCACCATTTATTAAATAGGGAATCCTTTCCCCATTTCTTGTTTTTGTCAGGTTTGTCAAAGATCAAATGGTTGTAGACGTGTGGTATTATTTCTGAGGGCTCTATTCTGTTCCATTGGTCTATATCTCTGTTTTGGTACCAGTACCATGCTGTTTCAGTTACTGTAGCCATATAGTATAGTTTGAAGTCAGGTAGCATGATGCCTCCAGCTTTGTTCTTTTGGCTTAGGATTGTCTTGGCAATGCAGGCTCTTTTTTGGTTCCATATGAACTTTAAAATAGTTTTTCTCCAATTCTGTGAAGAAAGTCATTGGTAGCTTGATGGGGATCGCACCGAATCTTTAAATTACCTTGGGCAGTAGGGCCATTTTCATGATATTGATTCTTCCTATCCATGAGCATGAAATGTTCTTCCATTTGTTTGTGTCCTCATTTATTTTGTTAAGCAGTGGTTTGTAATTCTCCTTGAGGAGGTCCTTCACATCCCTTGTAAGTTGGATTCCCAGGTATTTTATTCTCTTTGTAGCAATTGTGAATGGGAGTTCCCTCATGATTTGGCTCTCTGTCTGTTACTGGTGTATAGGAATGCTTGTGATTTTTGCACATTGATTTTGTATCCTGAGACTTTGCTGAAGTTGCTTATCAGCTTAAGGAGATTTTGGGCTGAGATGATGAGGTTTTCTAAATATACAATCATGTCATCTGCAAACAGGGACAATTTGACTTCCTCTTTTCCTAACTGAATACCCTTTATTTGTTTCTCTTGCCTGATTGCCCTGGCCAGAACTTCCAACACTATGTTGAATAGGAGTGATGAGAGAGGGCATCCCTGTCTTGTGCCAGTTTTCAAAGGGAATGCTTCCAGTTTTTGCCCATTCAATATGATATTGGCTGTGGGTTTTTCATAAATAGCTCTTATTATTTTGAGATACATCACATCAATACCTAGTTTATTGAGAGTTTTTAGCATGAAGGGCTGTTGAATTTTGCCAAGATGTTAATTTCAATATTACGTTATTTAGACTTCATGAGCCTCAAAACCACTCAAGGCAGTTGGCAGAGTAGAATAAGCTTGTCATTGATTAGTTTCCTATGGCTGCTGTAACAAATTATCTCAAATTAGATGGCTTATAACAACAGAAATTTATTCTTTCACACTTCTGGAGGCCAAAAATCTGATATGAGTGCAGTAATGTGCTACATGTTGACATTTTAGTAAACCACAGACCACATATCCTACGGTGGTCTTATAAGATTATAAAGGAGTTGGCTGCGCACAGTGGCTCACGCCTGTAATCCCAACACTTTGGGAGGCCGAGGCGGGCAGATCACCTCAGGTTGGGGGTTTGAGACCATCCTGACCAACATGGTGAAACCCCCATCTCTACTAAAAATACAAAATTAGTCGGGAGTGGTGGCACACACCTGTAATCCCAGGTACTTGGGAGTCTGAGGCAGGAGAATTGCTTGAACCCAGGTGGCAGAGTTTGCAGTGAGCCAAGATCCTCCCATCGCACTCCAGCCTGGGCAACAAGAGCAAAACTCTGTCTCAAAACAAAACAAAATAAACTACCTGCTAAATTCTAATATAAATTGGGGAATTTGTATCTTTGTCTCAGCCTAGCAACATTTAAAATGGAATGGGAACCATTTGAGAAACACATATCGTCCAAATCTTGACATTATTTCAGAACACGGTCTTGCCTCTTCCTCACCTCAACAACCAATCAGCAACAGTGGAATATATATGTGTGTGTGTGTATGTGTGTGTGTATATATATGTATATGTACATATGACAAAAATTATTTCTCTAAACTATTTGATAATGATTTTCAGACATTATATCTTTTTATTCCTAAATACTTCAATGTGTATTTCCTAAGAACAAGGTCAATTTCTTACCACAGCACAATTATCAAATTTAGAGAACTTAACATTGATAAAATAGTATTCTCTAATATACAGTCTATAAAAATTTTAATTGTATCAATAAAATCTTTTATAGGAATTTCTCTCCCAAACTAGGTGCCATTTCAGAATCACATATGAATCTAGTTGTCTTGACTTTTCAGTCTCCTTCACTTTGGAACAGATTCTTAATCTTCTTGTCTTTCATGAATATGTTTTTGAAGAGCATATGCCAGTGGTTTTGTTGAATGTTTCTTAATTTGTGTAGTCATGGTTACATTCAGGTCATGGAAATGTCACAGAAATCATGTTACCCTCTATCACACCAAGAGGCATGTGATGTCAGTTTTTCTCATTATTTATTATTATTATTATTATTTTTTTTGAGATAGAATTTCGCTCTTCTTGCCCAGGCTGGAGTGCAATGGTGTGATCTCGGCTCACCACAGTTTTGTATTTTTAGTAGAGACGGGGTTTCTCCATGTTGGTCAGGCTGGTCTCGAACTCCCAACCTCAGGTGATCCCCCTGCCTCGGCCTCCCAAAGTGCTGGAATTACAGACGTGAGCCACCACGCCCAGCCCAAATGAGGATTTTCTAATTTTATCCTTACTTCCACATTTATCACTTGGCACACAACTGTAAGGAAAATCTTCCCATCTTCCATATTTATGTGTTTAAGTTCCCAAGATTGATAATCACTTATTGTCATCATTAATGCTCAAAATGTGTCAGATTTGGCCATTGAGATCCCTTTCAAGCTGGCTTCTCTGTCCTTTCAAATCATACCCATCAATTCTGAGCACCTACATTCTGGCACAGCAAGATATCTTAGGTTCATCTTGTAGTTTCCCTGGCACAGTCCCGGAGTCAGTGTAGTTGACACCAGTAGCTACTTTCTATCAGTATCGCTGGTTCCTTTTAGTAGGGAGTGGTATTTGAAAATCAATATATAGAATTATCTTTGCTCATTGCATCTGAGGTATCATTTCTTCTAGGCCCAATTAGCAGAGAGATCTGTGGAGAAATTTTACAATTAAGTGTATAATTTCATACTGATGCCTCTAATTCCCATCATCACCAATAGGACTATTCTTTACCTTCCTCCTTTCCCACAGTGAGAGCCTGGTTCCAACAACATACAGGCGCACACATGCTCATTTTTCCAATCCTAAAATTCACACAAAATATCAGAATTGCTATTGCCTTAGCATTACAGAAAATATTCCTGATACATAGAGTTTAAGATATGCTTGCTGTTCTTTTTCTTTTTACAATGAGAACAATGTATAAACCATTTTCTTAGGTCAATTCTTTCCTGAATTTTCAATGTGGTTATGTTATACTTTTGAAATGCTCTATTTGGAAATAGATTTGCTGATCCCAAATCAGGAACAGTGTTTTTCTTTTTACTGTTAACGTACCTTTTCTTGATGTAACCGTGCCTAAGAGAGGGGGCACTTAGATATAGGGAAATCATAAACAGTGGAATTGGAAACACATGGTAATTGTCTTTATGACATAGAGCACATACTCAGATAATGGTGGTCACCAGTTTTCCAAATACACAGGAGGTATGAGGGGGTATAGCTCAGTGGTAGAGAGTGTACTTATCATGCACGAGGTCTTGGGCTGATTCCCCAGTACCTCCAGAGGTCCATTTTCTTCCCTGTGGCACTGTAAGAAGAGCTCCATGACCTTCCCCAGCTGTCCAGAATGTCCTGCCTTGTCAAGATATTTGGGTTGACCTCTACATCTCTCTCTCATACAGAGAGGTAATTCGTGTTCATTCACTTAAGGTTATTTGCTGCTTACGATTATCCACCTATTCTTTCTAAGCAGTCCCAGCAGTCACTAAGGTGAACCACGCACTATGGAAGCAAGTACTACTCCTGGCCCTCCAGCCTATTTCTAGTTGTAAATGAAATAATCAGAAACCATAGAACCACGTGGCGCAAGTCCTTTCCTGCGTGTGGTGTTTGTTTGTTTGTTTGTTTGTTTGTTTGAGACAGAGTTTCACTCTTGTTGCCCAGGCTGGAGTGCAATAGCACAATCTTGGCTCACCACAACCTCTGCCTCCCGGATTCAAGTGATTCTCCTGCCTCAGCCTCCTGAGTAGCTGGGATTACAACCATGCACCACCATGCCTGGCTAATTTTGTATTTTTAGTAGAGATGGGGGTTTCTCCCTGTTGGTCAGGCTAGTCTAGAACTCCCGACCTCAGGTGATCTGCCCACCTCAGACTTCCAAAGTGCTGGGATTACAGGCGTGTGCTACCATGCTTGGCCTTGTATTTCTTCTTCTAACCCAGGTTGCAGAAGCCCTACAAGCTTTCACTAAAAGATTTCACTGCCAGTGGCTGAGGACCTGATGTGCTGGTGGTCACTTTTTCCATTAGAAACCCACAAACTCTAAAACTTAATGTAAACTATTTAACTACAAGAATACAATAAATGGCAAATATAATGACAAATGAGAAAAAGATCACAGTCACTTCAGCTGACATTTGGTAGGGGGAACATATTTCTCTGGGTCCTCTAAGGAAGTTTCTGCCCTGAGATGCAAGCACTCGGAACTCCAGGAACCAAGATCAGTATAGGGTAAAGCTCATTTCTTTGTTTTCCATCAATAAAAATAATGAATGAACTTTTATTCTCCCAATCCCAATGGATCCTTTTCTACCTGCTGCACTTATTCTCCAGGAATAACCTCTTTCTAAGCTACTGAACAACCCACACCTCCAGATTAGAGCTCTTTGCACAGTTTCTGATGCTGGTATCACAGAGCTAAGCAGAATCCACGCGGGGATACTCTGCAAGCATCTCAATACTATCTCGTTAAAAGGAAATCGCCTTCTATTTTCAGCTCTATTTCATTTAAACAAAAGATAAAAAATTAAGTTACTCAACACCCAGAAGGCAGAAAAACGACCTCTCTCTGCATCTGCAGAAGCCAAGCAAGCTAGTGGGGCTTCCGTATGCATCCTTTGTTTTACTCATTTTCCAAACGCTGTAATGGTCCACCACCTACCAGGTGGTCACAAGCCATCGCTAAAGTCAATTTTGAGGTCAACCCACTCAACTTGTGAGGGATTCACCTATATTACCTCTGCACCTGTAATAAGACTAAGAAGACGGTGGCTGCACATGTAGTTAACACCGATTGTACCGCGACTTCGCCTTTCCGCAGCCTTTGTACCAACCTGCAGAGCCCTTTTGAGCCAAGAGCTGGACTTGGGGAGTAAAGAAGCTCATTGTAAACGCCAGGAGGAATTTCTTCAGGGTGAAGTTGACTTCCAATCGGCTTCATTCTAAAGGAAACATGTGGAGCAAACAAACGGGAACTTTCTTTCTCATCTTCTGCATTTCAAGCCTAATAAAATTAGACGTTTCCACTGTCCTGCTCAGTCTCGAAGCTGTCGGCAGATTCCGCTTTTAACTCTCAACACAGACACTCAGGAAATCGGGAAATCCCTGCAGCTCCCTCAGAAGCTATCAGTATCAGCGGTTCCCGAACCCGCAAACAAAAAACGCAACATCACGTGCTCCTCCAAAGAGCCTAGCCTGTCTATCGAGCGATGGAAAGAGCGGCGAGGCGCTCTCGCAGCCGTGGCAGTCTGGACGAAAAGAACCAGGTCCCTTTCCTGGTCTAGCCTACCTCCCTACCTCTCTTCCCTCATATCCAGAAGAAGCGACGGAGAGGTGAGTGCTTAGACTCACTCTAACATCCCGTCCATCCAAATCCTAATAATCTTGAGGATGCTTTTCCTTGTCCTCTACCCCTCTCCCTTTTTATGTTTCTTTCTCCACTTCACCGCACCCCGCCTCTTCCCTCTCTCCGCCAGCTGGCCCTCGGCTCCTCTCCACCTTCCCTCCCGTTTACTTCTGAATGAACTTTTCACAATAGTGCAGTGCACTCCTAGAACCATTTACACACATTCTAAGCACTGTGCTGAGATTTATATGTAGCCACTGTTTTAATTTCCACATCACTTTCCTTTTTTTTTTTTTCCTTCTCTATATGCTCAACTTCAAACGTTTTCTGCAGCATAGGCTGAGGCTGCGTCCAGATGGGGAGAGACGTCAGGCGGCGGGGATAAACCTGGAGGAATGTTGTTTCCTGTCTGGGGAGGTTCGGGCCTTACAAGAGGGAGAGAAAAAAAGAAAAAAGCCTGTAAGAGAATCTAAAATTTTTGAGGAAATTATTCAAAAAATATTTTAATTGACCCTCCCAACAAATTTTGGCTAAAAACAGAAAGCCTGGACTCTCTCGGAATAGGAGACTGAGTTTGAAAACTGTCCAGACATAGGGACGGTTTTATTAAAATTCAATTTGCAAGTCGTTGTTGGCTGTAGCTATTTCCTCATTCCAGAGAGGATTGTTTCTGAAATTCGGTAAACTCTGAAATTGTTTCTAAGTTATTTAACAAGAGGAGTCCAATGTTTTCACACTTTTGAAGTGATATAAGAATTTCTAGGCTGAGGTGGGAGAACGGATTGAGCCTGGAGGCGAAAGTTGCAATGAGAGGAGATTGCCACTGCACTCCAGGCTGGCAGAGTGGGACCCTGTCTCTCTCTCTCTCTCTCTCACTCGCTGGAATCTTCTCTCTCTCTCTCTCTCTATATATATATATAGAGAGAGAGATACATGTATATTTTATATTATATATAATATCTATATCAACAATATATTTACATTTTTAATTTATATATATTTCATATTTATATGTGTGTGTATATATATATATATATATATATATATATATATATATATATATATAGCGTGGTCACACTAAAATAAACATATGCTTGCCTTTTCCACCCCTGGCTCTCTGTACCACCTAAGGTGGATGTGTTAGCACTAGATCAGTAAAAGGAAGGAAACAGAGAAAAAGAATTGGCTCGCTCAGGATTTCTTCAGTCGGAAGCTATAAACCTACTACCAGGTTAACGTGTTCAATAATCTTCTGTTCCTTTTTGCCATGTCATTGAAGAGCAAGACAGAAAACAAAACAAAAAAGAGCCAAAAGGAGAGAAAAGGAAAAGTCTAGATAATTTCATTTTAGTTTTAGATAGTTTCCTTTAGTTTTCTGAGCGGTGTTTCCAAGGTGACCAAGCATGGGAGCATCTATCTTGCTGATTTGACCTATTCCTCGCCTTTTTTTTTTTTTTTTTTTTTTAGAGACAGAGTCTCGCTGTCGCCCAGGCTGGAGTGCAGTGGCGCGATCTCGGCTCACTGCAGCCTCGAACTCCCTGGTTCAAGCGATTCTCCTGCCTCAGCCTCCGAAGTAGCTGAAACTACAGGCGTGCGCCACCTCTCCTGGCTAATTTTTATATTTCTTGTAAAGAAGGGATTTCACCATGTTGGCCAGGCTGGTCTTGAACTCCTGACCTCAAGTGATCCACCCTCCACGGCTTCGCAAAATGCTGAGATTACAGGCGTGAGCCACCGTGCCCGGCCGTCTCGTCTTTTCTTTCCCGTCTTTTGCCGGGGAAAATTGGATCCTATTTTCATACATAAATTACAGCAGAATTTATATTTTTGGATTGGGAGGAGGTGAGTGAATGACGGGTGATATTGAAGACAACCGAATTAGGCGTTGGAAGATACACTGACCTTACAAATTGCAGTTTTTATATTTTGAAGAAATGACCAACGGGACAGCTCCAGAGTAGCCGAAATAGCTCAGTTGGGAGAGCGTTAGACCGAAGATCTTAAAGGTCCCTGGTTCAATCCCGGGTTTCGGCAGATACCTTTTGGTTGTTGCATAATTGTCTTTCCTTTATACAACACTTGCACACCAATCCCAGAGGTCTATATATAACTCCCATTTTTTGCTTTTTGAAAATTCCATAAAGGTAATGTATATATATATGTATGTATATTTGTATCACTCTCTCCACTGAAGTCTTCCATGAAGTGTTAACTGATGGTATGTAAATTATTTAAAATCTTAAATCTAGAAAGTTACTAATTTTAAAACCTAAGAAATTCCAATATGCTATAGACTGTGGCAATTACAATTCATTTCTGATTTGATGTTATTTATGTGTGTTGGGCAGGGGTGTTTTAAATCACAAGAACTATGAAGAAACCTGTAGAAGAACTATTATGCTGTATGAGTGTATATATGTGGTAGTGGTATATTCAAGAAACATTTTGCAATTCCAAAAACCTCGGTTTGGCCGGGCGCAGTGGCTCAGGCCTGTAATCCCAGCACTTTGGGAGGCCGAAGCGGGTGGATCACGAGGTCAGGAGATCGAGACCACGGTGAAACCCCCGTCTCTACTAAAAGTACAAAAAAATTAGTGGGGCGCGGTGGCGGGCGCCTGTAGTCTCAGCTACTCAGGAGGCTGAGGCAGGAGAATGGCGTGAACCCGGGAGGCGGAGCTTGCAGTGAGCTGAGATCGCACCACTGCAATCCAGCCTGGGTGACAGAGCGACACTCCGTCTCAAAAAAAAAAAAGAAAGAAACACCTCGGTTTGTATCTTGAGTCAACTCCATAGCTCTGCAGTTAAACTGCTGGGAAAATAACTTTCTTTTTTTTGAGACGGAGTCTCGCTCTGTCGCCCAGGCTGTAGTGCAGTGGCACGATCTCGGCTTACTGCAAGCGCCGCCTCCCGGGTCCACGCCATTCTCCTGCCTCAGGCTCCCGAGTAGCTGGGACTACAGGCGCCCACCACCACGCCCAGCTAATTTTTTGTATTTTTAGTAGAGACGGGGTTTCACCATGTTAGCTGGGATGGTCTCGATCTACTGACCTCGTGATCCACCCACCTCGGCCTCCCAAAGTGCTGGGATTACAGTGTGAACCACCGCGCCCGGCCCTGTTTTGTTTTTTTGAGGCAGGGTCTCACTCTGTCACCCATGCTGGAGTGCAGTGGTATGATCACAGCTCACTGCAGCCTCAGCCTCCCTGGACTCAAGCGATCCTCCCATGTCAGCCTCCTGGGTAGCTGAGACTACAGAAATGCAACAACAAGCCTGGCTTTCTCTCTCTCTCTTTTGTACTTTTTTTTTGTAGAAACTGGGTTTCACCATGTTCCCCCAGCTGTTCTTGAAATCCTGGGCTCAAGCAACCTGCCCGCTTCTGCCTCCCTACGTGCTGGGATTACAGGTGGGAACCACCGCACCAGTCCTAATTACAGGAATATTTTTAAGTTTCTTACTGACAGGACATTTCTTTAGCCTGGAAACCTTGCCTAGAATTTCCAAATCTTAAGTTATTTCCTCATTGGTATCCAGGAAAGAACAAAAATAAGTCTTTCTTTCTTTTTTCTTTTTTTTTTTTTTTTTGAGACAGAATCTTGCTATGTTACCCATGCTAGAGTGCAGTGGAACGATCTCAGCTCACTGCAACCTCCGCCTCCCCGGCACAAGCAATTCTCCTGCTGCAGCCTCCCAAGCAGCTGGGATTACAGGCGTCCACCACCATGCCTGACTAATTTTTGTATTTTTAGTAAAGACGGGATTTCACCATGTTGGCCAGCCTGGTCTCCAACTCCTGACCTCGTGATCTACCTGCCTCGGCCTCCCAAAGTGCTGGGATTATAGATGTGAGCCACTGCGTCCAGTCAAAAATAAGTATTTCTAAATTAATTATTCTGTCAAGACTCAGGTGGATGTGCCCCATTTTCCTTTTTTTTACTTCAACTCCTCTCTTGAAATTTTGTGTTGGGATAATGGGCCTTTTTTGTCCTGTTTTTTTTTTTTTTTTTTTGTCTGATTTTTTTTGGTCATTTTTAATATCTTTTCTTCTTTCAAATTGGTGTTTCATTTTCAGTGTTATTTTCCCCTAACACCTGCATACTGTGTGAGGAGACAATAAACTACAGTACTCCAACATCAGAACTGCATCAAATTGTGAAAGGAAAATTGGTACCAAATGAGAGACCAACCTCAGGGTGGGGACATTGACTGTACAGGAACTAGGAATCAGATACTTTACCCTTTAAGTCACTGAGGCTTTCTCAACTCAGAAGCCTGTGTTTTATTTCATTAAGAAATATTTGATAGGCTGGGCGTGGTGGCTCACGCCTGTAATCTCAGCACTTTGGGAGGCTGAGGCGGGTAGATCACCTGAGATCAGAAGTTTAAGACCTGCCTGGCCAACATGGTGATACCCTGTCACTACTAAAAATACAAAATAATAATAATAACAATAATAATAATAATAATAATAAATTAGCTGGGTGTGGTGGTGGATGCCTGTAATCCCAGCTACTCGAGAGGCTGAGGCAGGAGAATCCCTTGAACCCGGGAAGCGGAGGTTGCAGTGAGCCAAGATCGCAACATTGCACTCCACCCTAGGCAACAAGAGCAAGACTCTGTCTTAAAAAAAGAAAAAAAAAAGGAAACATTTGATTAGACAAATGGCAGGATTGAATGTTTTCTTGCCTAGCACAGTAGTGATTCCTTTACATTTTGTTGAAATGAAACGCCTAGGGTAATTCTAAGCATGATTCGTCTCTCATTCAATACCTTAAAAATGAGGCTAATAATGATTATGTAAAATGGGATGTTGCAAAGGTCTAAGGAGATCATGCATGGAAATGCATTTAGTCAAGTCCACTCGCGGCATGAAACCTAATTACTGGCAGACCATGCTCCATGTCCTTTGGCTCTGGGATTCTCCCAGAACAGCACCTAAATAGATAACATCGTCTCTAGACAATGCTGTCCAATCAAAAGATACTACAAGTCTTCTGCTTTAGCTTCTGGGATAAAAAGAATTTTTAAAAAAGTTAATACAAATCTTAAATGAGAGCCACTTCTGTAGTTTTAAATTTTCTAGTAGTCACATTTAAAAAATAAACAGGCAATACTTATTTTATATAATTTTTTAACAATTTCAACTTTTAGATAGGCAAGGTGGGTCATACCTGTAATCCCAGCCCTTTGGGAGGCCGAGGTGCGCGGAACACCTGAGGTCAGGGGTTCAAGACCAACCTGACCAATATGGTGAAACCCTGTCTCTAATAAAAATACAAAAATTAGCTGGGTGTGGTGGTGCATGCCTGTAATTTCAGCTACTTGGGAGTCTGAGATAGGAGAATCACTTGAAACCTGGAGGAGGAGTTTGCAGTGAGCCCAGATAGCGCCACTGTACTCTAGCCTGAGAGACAGAGCAAGACTCTGTCTCAAAATAATAATACTAATAATAATAATTTCAACTTTTATTTTAGATTCAGGGGGTACATGTCCAGGTTTGTTACATGGGTATAGTGCATGATGCTGGGGTTGGGGTGAGATTAATCCCATCACCTGGGTGGTGAACATAGTATCCAATAGTTAGCTTTTCAAGCCTTTCCCCTTCTCGCCTCCCCCTCTAGTAGTCCCCAGTGTCTATTGTTTCCATCTTTTATGTCCAGTTTTACTAATATATGTAAATCACCTTGCATGTCCAAAATATTATTTTAACAAGTAATCAATCTTAAAATTATCAGTGAGACATTTTATGTTTAAAAAATGATATTACATCTGGCCAGGTGCGGCGGCCCATGCCTGTAATCCCAGCACTTTGGGAGGCCGAGGAGGGCAGATGACAAGGTCAGGAGTTTGGGACCAGCCTGGCCAGCATGGTGAAACCCTGTCTCTACTAAAAAAAAAAAAAAAGAAAAAGAAAAATTGCCAGGCATGGTGGTGCGCGCCTGTAGTCCCAGTTACTCAGGAGGCTGAGGCAGGAGAATGGATTGAACCCAACAGGTGGAGGTTGCTGTGAGCCAAGATTGCACCACTGCACTCCAGGTTAGGTGGCAGAGCGAGACTCCATGAAAAAAAAATTACATCTTTGAAATCTGGTATATATTTCTCACTTTCAACACATCTTAACTTAGACTAGGCAATTTTCAGTACTCAATACCCAATGTGGCTAATGGTAACCATATTGGACAGTGCAGATTTAAACATATACTTTATATATTTTTAGGTTTTCGAAATTGAGTGTGTATGACAGGGTGTTCTGTCTTCAAAATTAAATGTTTAATTTCTCAGAAGAATGCTATGTTAAATGAGCTCATCCTACAGATTTCACACAAAAAACATGTTTCAATCGTGTTGCTGGTAGATAGTCTGAAGATAGCTACAGATATTTAATTATTTAAAATTCTCCCATTTTTATGAGGCAACCTTCTTATTATGAATTCCCAAGAATCCAATAGACAGCCAAGTTTCTCTGGGTGTAACACAACATAAAGATGAAGGAGAGTTTCTGCAAACTGTCCTAATATTGCTTTTACAGCATCAAAGAGCCAAGATAATCCTTCCCATCATTTACATGCACACACACAGACACAGTCAGGCAGGCAAACACACATGAATACACATCAATTTTGTCTATAACAATTCTCTAGTTTCTCCTTCAGTGAAGTCTATCACTCAGTGTTTCCTATTTTTATTCTAGAAATCCCATCAGCCAACTGAAAAGCCAAGTCTGACATACAACTTGCAATTTGGCAATTTTGAAAGCCATCAATGTTACTTTATTAACATTGGCAAAGGCTCTTATATAGGCAAACCAGAATGAGAAAGAGTTAATAGTCACTAGAAATTTGGTGCTGAGAAATAGGTTTTCTTCTCATCTTCTTATGTAATTCAAAGGACACACGATAAGTCCCAAGATTCAAGAACTTTTGAATTCAAGAACAAACAAACTTGTTTGTTCACTACAAATATCACGAATAGGTTTGTAATTTCCATATCTCAAAGTACACTTTTTTAGTCTTTATCCATCCTCCATGTAATGTGTCTACTACTATTAATGCTTACAAATCCCAGGCTAGAGACAGAGTTAATTGCCTGAATTCTCTGAGAAACATCCTCACAAGTGTGCCCCACAGATACTTTAAATTGAGTATGAGCCAAACTAACTCATCTTCTCCATCTTCCAGTCTATCTCTCATTCCTAAAAGAGCTGTTAAAACCTCTCCCCTTTTCTGCACCTGCTGTGTTTGTTTTTCTAAAGCATTCTTCAACCCTGTTTGTATTTATCTTCGGTCTTATTCTCATAATTCAACCCTTCTCTCCATCCCCATAGCTGTTTTTCATTCACGCCTTATGAATCCCTTCCCCTCCCCTCCCCTCTTCTCCCCTCGTCTCCCCTCTTCTCCCCCTTTCCCTCCCCTCCCCTTCCCTTCTCTCTCTGTTGCCCAGGCTGGAGGACAGTGGCACAGTCATAGCTCCCTACAACAACTAACTCCCGAGCTCAAGCGATCCTCGTGCCTCAGCCTCTAGAGTAGCTGGGAGTACAGGCGTAAGACACCACGCCAGCTAAGGACCCTTATGAAAAAATGCTAAGTGCATCGCTGTCAGGTTTTCTTCTGATTGTGGCTTTCCTCCATCAAATCTTATCTTTAATATTCCGATTGAGCAAACAACAATTATGAAGCGTTTTAGGCAGGAAAAGGCTGAATTTCAATGGCTTTGTGTCGTATCTGGGAGAAATTAAAAGAAACGAAAACCTGAACTTGATTCTTGCCAAGCATAATAGAAGGAGACCCTAAGAACTCAACGTCTTGAGGCCACAATGGAAACTTCTTGTGGTTATTATCTGACACTTTTCTAATCTTTCGTTTTTCGTTTCAAGTCCTACACAGTATTCTAAAGAATCTGTATCCCCCATTAGTACCAAGTATCTCCTGCTCAGAACAGCTCTCCGCACTCCATAATACTGACCACTACTACCAGCATGCTCACGGAGTCTCAGGAAATGAAAGTTACCTCCTGAAAATTATTACAAAGAGACCTTATAGTAAGGGGGTGTAGCTCAGTGGTAGAGCGCATGCTTTGCATGTATGAGGCCTCGGGTTCGATCCCCGACACCTCCAAGCGATGGTTTTGCTCTGGTAGTTTTCAAGCGACAGACTTCTGCCTCCTCACGTTTTTCTATCCTATTTCTGCACATATAGACAGTAAAAGTGTAGCCCAATGTTCAGCCTTGAACTATCTCCACTGGTTATGCTGTGAACCTCGACATCACCAAAGGCGATTGCCACAGCAGAAGGGAGACAAACAAGAAATGAGGGGGAAAGAAGAACGGGATCGCAACACGGTCTCTTGAACCCAAACAAAAGCGTGCACATTCACAGGCGGCTCGCTTTCACTCCCATTTTGTACTATGATTAATGAGACGCAAAGACAAAGGAGAAGGGAGAAAAGCGCCCTGAAGGCATCTATTTTTTTTTAAGTTATTTTTGTTTTCTGGGCCAAAGAACAGAGCGAAAGCCTCTGTTCACTGATTTCTCCACCAGTCTCTCCCTGTCTACCTGCGCGGAGAACACAGCTACCAGTGTGATCCAGTACTGAGACAAGGGCTGTGGCTCTCCAGTCGCTTGAGATGGGAGTGGCAGGGCGCTGGATAACCACACGAAGACTGTCGGGGAATTAGAGGCCTTCAACGTGCGAGAAGCAGAAACCAATACGGATCAACATTCCCTACTGATGTTCCATAAGACTGATTTGTATTCCTGTATTTCCTCAGTCACTCCATTTTCCTCTTTACAATAAAATATTGCCTGGGAACTTCTGGTAAGAGCAAACGGAGGCCCCATATGAAAAACTAGGAAAAGGTTTTCTGTCACAATGCAAAATACATGCAGACTAAAAGATAAGTAGATCGCAGGTGTGTTGGGCACTTCCTGCCTTGGGAAAAAACAAACAAACATTTCATGTTCTTTCTCGATCCACCT
Organism: Homo sapiens; assembly: GCF_000001405.40. Taxonomy (NCBI): domain Eukaryota; kingdom Metazoa; phylum Chordata; class Mammalia; order Primates; family Hominidae; genus Homo; species Homo sapiens. The sequence goes on along the minus strand of NT_167246.2, from coordinate 81,940 downwards.
GATTACATCGCTTTTTTTGGAGAGGGAACTCCCAAGAAATCCTATGCACTCATGAAACCTTTTATGGTTTCCAACGGTGTATGGTTTCAAAACTGCTGTTCTCTCTGTACATATTTCCTATTGAATTAAAGTGTCTTTGAGAGGCAAGAGAGTATGATGTTTGTTCCTAGTCCACCAGCCTATCAGGCTGGCATGATAGATACACTCTATGAGGCTAACATGACCTTACTTGATTCTTTTGTCCAGTGAGAATATCTATAACCAGCATCCAGGAGGGATACTGTCTGATGAAACCTGCTTAGCTGAGGACTGGCTGTGTGTGTGCCTCCAGACCAATCATATGTTTGTTTTGAGACACATTTTTTGGAGGAAGGTAATACACACATGCCATGTATTTTCTTTTTGTTTCATACTTTTTCTTCTTTAATTTCCTGGTATCCATTGGTTCTCTCCAGGCAAACAGTGGCATGTTAGCCACAGTGGACACTGCATAGGAGAGCAAGGGGTGGAGGATTAGGGTGCTGCAATCAGAATAATAAATTTCAGGCCCAACCTTAGGTCTATTGAATCAGAACTGCTGAGTATGGATGGGGCTCAGCCTCCTGTGTTTGAATAAGCCTTCAAGTGACTCTGATGCTAAAGTTTGTGAAGCACTGCTCTAGAAGTTTCAGGAAGTCCCAGGGTCAGGCACCTGCTGAGGAGGAAGAGTTGGTCCTGGGGTTCCCTGCCTATTCTCAATCAAAAACACAAACCTAGGAAAGCCAGTGAGGTTTGTATTCGTCTTATGTCAGGGATGGGGTTGAATTTACCATTTCTTTGACCCTTTGAATATTTATGCAACTTTTCAGGTCACACACAACAGACTGATTTTCCTGTGGAGGAACTCACAGGAATTCTCTTGAACCAGGAGACTCTTTTGAGCTGAAATACCTGGAGCTCTCTCAAGCTATTTGGGCCTTGCAATTTGAAACCCAGGCTTGGACGATTCTAAGCCCTGTGGCAGAGAGTAATCATTTTCTCTCCACCCTCAGGGTGAGGACTCATCCTCAGGGTTGGGAGTGACTGCTGTCTCTCCAGCCCCCACCAAGTCTACCAATGTTCTGGTTGTTAAAATCCAGCATATGCATGAAATGTAATAAAAGTATCTTTGCAGCAGTAAGTAGAGAGTTCCTCGTTGTGAGCAGACCATTCCTCTTCCTCCTTGGAAAAAATTCTGTATCCACTTTCTACATTTTCACGTTTGTCTCTTCCTCTACACACACCTCAGCTGCTGCTTTATTTACACTTGTCTCATGTAAGGATCTTCTTTTATGTGGTAACCTTGGCTTTTCCCACTGTTCTTGCTTCCACGAGTTGGATGCAGGCAATATAGGAGCCGACTGCAAAATGTAGGTGATATTGTCCAGAAAGAAACCCGAATTTCAGAGGCTTGCTGATGTGGAAGAAAGCCAAGATATTAGACTCATAGAGCTTCACTCTGCTAGGTAGGTTGAAATCTGGACACCCTGAATTCCATAAAAACAAGGTAGTACTCCTTCTGAAAACCCTCGTAAGTTTAAAATATACTGGGACTGCCTTACCTTTCTTGTTTTTCATGCCTTGTATTCCAAGCTTGACAAGCTATAACAAAAACAAAAGCAAAGAACACTCTTCCTATCTATAACAAAGGACCCTATGCTTCAGCGGGAGGGTCTCTCTTCCCGGTTAAACACTCTCCCCCTCGCTAACAGTAGGGATTGGAAATAGGCGGCTTCTCTGTCGTTTCCTTGGAAGCCACTAATACCACCCGCCTGTACCAAAACTCAAGGGTACCCGTTCTCCCCAGTGCCCCAGCCAGTAAAGGAGCTGCGAGGCGTTCTCAACGCCGCGACTGCCTTGAGCAAAACGAGGGAGATCTTGCGAGGAAAGTGTTTTCAGCTCACTTCTCCAACAGGGAATGAGCCCTCTCGCTTATCGCGGACAGCGAGGAAAAGCAGCGGAGATGGGCTTCCGGGCTGCACTCCGCCTTCCGGCCCACCCAGATCCTCTGGCAGCCTCGGGCGCTCGCCCACTTCGCTTCTCCTCCGCCTTTGCCGCCGCCGCCGCAGGTGCGCACCCCACCGCGTCCCTGCTTCCCTCTCGAACTCTTTTCGAAGGTGGTCCTCGTTCTCCTCTCCATCCATCGTTTCTTGAGTGTCAGAACTGGAGCCATAGCGTCCCCAAGACGAAATCCATGCTGGGTTTCGCGACCATGGTGCTGGCCCAGGCGCTGGCAGGGTAAGGACGGGCAGCGACCCACGCTCCTGGGTCTTCGTTTCTAAGAGCTGGGAATTCCACTTTCTCACCTCCTCACCTGCACCTAAATCCCCCGAGACGGTACTGACCCTTCTGTTTTAGTATCCATCTACGTTACTCTTGATAGAAGAGTACAGCCCTTGAAGGAAGAGGGAAAAGAAATTTGAGAAGGGAGAATTTAGAAAAACCTTTTTAGTTTGAAATTATTTCAAACCTACAGAAAAGTTGCAAAAATGATACAAAGAACTGCCACACACAAGTTACTCATATTTACCAATTCCCGATATTTTGCCACAATGATTCTCCTCTCTCTTTACGGCTAAACACACACACACACTATTATTTTTCTCATGTACTTTATTATTTATTTATTTATTGAGACAGGTCTTGCCCTGTCGTCCAGGCTGGAGTGCAGTGGTGCGATCTCGGCTCACTGCAACCTCCGCCTCCCGGGTTCATGCGATTCTCCTACCTCTGCTTCCCAAGTAGTTGGGATTAGAGGCATGAGCCACCATGCCAGGCCATTTTTTGTATTTTTAGTAGAGACGGGACTTCACCATGTTGGCCAGGCGGGTCTGGAACTCCTAACCTCTGGTGATCCGCCCGCCTCGGTCTCCCAAAGTGCTGGGTTTACAGGCGTGAGCCACCCCGGAGCTTCTGTGTTCTTTTAAATCATCCCCATCATTCTGGCACAGCAAGATATTTTAGGTTCATCTTGTAGTTTCCCTGGCACAGTCCTGGAGTCAGTGTAGTTGACACTAGTAGCTACTTTCTATTAGTATCTCTGGTTCCTTTTAGTAGAGAATGGTATTTGAAAATCAAAATATAGAGTCATCTTGCTCATTGTTTCTAAGGTATTTCTTCCAGGCTCAGTTAGCAGACAGATCTGTAGGGAAAATGTACTATTTTTATTTTTTGAGACAGAGTCTTAGTCGCCCAGGCTGGAGTGCGGTGGTGCGATCTTGGCTCGCTGCAACGTCCGCCTCCCGAATTCAAGCGATTATCCTGCCTCAGCCTCCCGAATAGCTGGGACTACAGGGGCGGCCACCACACCCGTCAAATTTTTGTATTTTTAGGAGAAACGGCGTTTTGCCATGTTGGCCAGGCTGTTCTCGATTTCTGACCTGAAGCGATCCACACGTCTCAACCTCCCAAAGTGCTGAGACTACAAGCGTGAGCCACCGCGCCCGGCCTATACAATTACATATGTATAATTTCATACTGATGCCTCCAATTCCCATCAACACCAACAGGACTATTCTTTACCTGCTTTCTCTTACAGTGACAGCCTGTTTCCAACAACACACGCGCTCACACACACTCATTTTCCCAATCCTAAAATTCACACAAAATCTCAGAATTCCTGCAGCCTTAGCTCTAAAAAAAAAACCCTCATACATAGAGTTTAAGATTTGTTTCCTCTTCTTTTTGTACTTACAATTAGAACAACGAACTTTGTCAAGCATTTTCTTAAATCAGTTATTTCAATGGGGTTATGTTATTCTTTCACAATGCAGTTTTAATTTGCCTCTATTTGTGTTGAATTTTAGGGTATTTTCACACACACTTGAGTCAGTTTTATTTTTTGACCATGTGAGACTAACACGCTTCCAAGAGTCAAAAGAATACAGAACATTATAATCAGAAAATTTGCAAGAGAATGTTGTATGCCAGGACACACTCAAATGATTGAATGCAAGTATGCTCCAGGAAATCTAACGCGATGGGGAGCCCACCGTGGGGTGAGTTGATCTTGGACTGACCACAAATCAGGAACAGTGCCTTTATTTGTACTATTAAGCTACCTTTCTTTTGGTGTAGCAGGGCCTAAGAGAGGAAACACTTCCTGTAGGAAATTGAGAGTGGAATTGAAAACATAAAGATTATCATGACACAGAGCCCAGACTCAGACAATAATAGTCATCAAAATATTCTCTAAAAGGCAAGTCTTCCAGAGGGGGTATAGCTCAGCGGTAGAGCGCGTGCTTAGCATGCACGAGGTCCTGGGTTCAATCCCCAATACCTCCAGGTTTTGTTTTCTTCCCCGGGCACTAGTGAGAAGCGGTCCATGATATTCCCCAACTTTAAATTTTTCTGTCTGTCAAGGTGAATTGTGTTGGCCTCTGCATTTCTCTCTCATACACAGAGGTGACTCGTGTTTATTCCTTTGAATCTATTTGCTGCTTAGGATTATCCACTTATATTTTCTAAGCAGTCCACCAATCACTAACATGAACCACGCACGAGGGAAGCAAGCAGTATTCCTGGCCATGCAACCAATTTCTAGTTGTAAATGAAATCATCAGAAACCATAGAACTGTGTGGCCCAAGTCTGATTTCAGATCAGAAGCTAAAAAGGCTCACGTCCTTTTCTGTTTCTTCTTCTAACTCCCTCTAACCAGGTTGAGAAGCCCTACAAGCTTTCACTAAAAGATTACACTGCCGGTGGTTGATGATTTGATGTGCTGGTGGTCACTTTTTCCATTAGAGACCCACATAGTTTGAAACTTAAACTATTTAACTACAAACACAAGGCAAATGATGAAAAGATAGCAGTCACCTCAGCTGAAATTTGGTGGAAGTAAAAAGTACTTCTCTGGGTCCTCAAGGAAGTTTCTGGTCTGAGATGCAAATACTCTGAACTCCAGGAAACAAGATCAGTATAGGAGAAAGCTCATTTTGTTGTTTTTCATAAATAAAAGTAATGAACGTTTATTCTCCCAAGCCCAACGGATCCTTTTCTACCTGATTGTACTTACTCTCCAGAAATAACCTCCTTCTAAGCTAGGGAACAACCCATACCTCCAGATTAGAGAGCTCTTTGTAGAGTTTCTGATTCTGGTATTACAGTACTAAGCAGAAATCCACAGGGAAATACTCTGCAAGCATGTTAATACTAACTTGTTAAAAGAAAATCTGCTTTTATTTTCATCTTTATTTCATGCCAACAAAGCAAAAAAAAAAATAAGTTACTAAACACCCAGAAGGCAGAAAAGTGACCTCTATCCATCTGCAGGAGCCAAGCAAGCGTGTGGGCTTCCGTATGCATCCTTTCTTTTACTCACTTTCTAAATGCTGTAACGGTCCACCATCTACCAGGTGGTCACAAGTCATCGCTAAACTCAATCTGAGGTCAGCCCACACGACTTGTGAGTGGTTCACTTATATTGCCTCTGCACCTGTAACAGGACTAAGAAGACGGTGGCTGCACACGTAGTTAACACCGATTGTACCTCGACTTCGCCTTTCTGCAACAGCTGTGACGCTCTGCAGGTCCTGAGCCAAGAGCTGGACGTTAGGAGTAAAGGAGCTCGTTGCAAACGCCAGGAAGAGTTTCTTTAGGGTGAAGTTGGCTTTCGATTGGCTTTATTCTAGGAGATATATATGGAGCAAAGAAACGGTAACTTTTTCTCATCTTTTGCATTTTAAGCAAAAACTAATAAAATTAGATGTTTCCGCCGTCATGCTCAGTCTCTTAGCTGCCGGCAGATCCCGCTTCTAACTCTCAACACGGGCACTTAGGAAGCCAGGCAATCCCTGAAGCTCCCTCAGAAGCTACGGTATCAGCGGTTCCTGAGGCGCAAACCAAAACCCAACATCACTCCAAAGAGCTCAGCCCGTCTGTCGAGCGACGGAAATAGCGGAGAGGCGCTCTTGAAGCCGTGACAGCCTGGGCGAAACGAACCAGGTCTCCTTCCTGGTCCAGCCTACCTCCCTAGGGACACCTCTCTTCCCTCACGGCCAGAGGAAGCGACGGAGAGATGTGGCGCTTAGATTCACTCTACGGTCCCGTCCATCCAAGTCCGAATCATCTTAAGGATGCTTTTCCTTGCCCTCTATCTCTCTCCCATTTGTGTTTTTCTTCCTCCACTTCACGGCACCCCTCCTTTTCCCTCTCTCCGCCAGCTGGCGCTCAGCTCCTCTCCACCTTCCCTCCCATTTACTTCTGAATGAACTTTTCACAATAGTGCAGCGCAGTCCTAGAACCATTTACACACATTTTAAGCACTGTGTTGAGATTTATATGTAGCTGCTGTTTTAATTTCCGCATCACGTTCCATTTTTTTCCTCTCTGTATGTTCAACTTTTAACATTTCTGCAGCATAGGCTGAGGCTGCGCCCAGCTGGGGAGAGACGTGAGGCGGAGGGGATAAACCCAGAGGAATGTTGTTTCCTGTCTGAGAAGGCTCGGACCTTACAAGCGGGAGGACAAGACAAAGACTGAAAGCGAACATAATTTTATAAATTTTATTTATTTAATTTTTAGGAAATCATCTAATCATCCAGAAACAATTTTTTGGGGGGGAAACGAAGTTTCGCTCTTGTTGCCCAGGCTGGAGCGCAGTGGTGCGATCTCGGGTCACTGCAACCTCTGCTTCCCGGGTTCAAGCGATTCTCCTGCCTCAGCCTCCTGAGTAGCTGGGATTATAGGCGCCCGCCACCATGCCTGGCTAATTTATGTGCATTTAGTAGAGACGGGGTTTCACCATGTTGACTAGGCTGGTCTCGAACTTCTGACCTCAGGTGATCCACCCGCCTCTGCCTCCCAAAGTGCTGGGATTACAGGCGTGAGCCACCACTCCTGGCTTCAAGAACAATTTCTTATCGACCCTTCCATCAAATTTTGGCTAAAACTGAAAGCCTTGACTCTTTCAGAATAGGAGACTCAGTTTGAAAACTGTCCAGACATAGAGAGGGTTTTATTAAAATTCAGTTTGCAAGTAATTATTGGCCATAGCAATTCCCTCATTCCAGAGAGAACTGTTTCTGAAATTCTGTAAACGTCTTAAATTGTTCTTAAGTTATTTATCAAGAGGAGTCCAATGTCTTGACACTTTTGAATTGATATAAAACTTCTAGGCTGAGGTGGAAGAACTGATTGAGCCAGGAGGTGAAAGTTGCAGTGAGAGGAGATTGCCACTGCACTCCAGTCTGGCAGAGTGGGACACTGTCAAAATAAAAATAAATAAATACAATCTCATGATTACAGATGTGTATGTAAAAAGCAATTTTTTTTTTTTTTTTTGAGATGGAGTCTTGCTCTGTCACCCAGGCTGGAGTGTAGTGGTGTGATCTCGGCTCACTGCAACCTCTGCCTCCTGGGTTCAAGAGATTCTGTAGCTGGGACTACAGGGGCGCGCCTCGACGCGGGGCTAATTTTTGTGTTTTCAGTAGAGACAACATGGGGTTTCACTATGTTGGACAGGCTGGTCTCCAACTCCTGACCTCAGGCGATCTGCTCGCCTTGGCCTCCCAAAGTGCTGGGATTACAGGCGTGAGCCACTGCACCCAGCTGGAAAAAAAAAAACAATTCTTATGCATCAATGTGCAGACCACAATTCTCTGAACTCCAAGGAATAGGCCGGGAACGGTGGCTCAAGCCTGTAATCCTAGCACTTTGGGAGGCCGAGGCGAGACCAGACTGATCAACATGGTGAAACTTCGTCTCTACTAATAATACAAAAAAATTAGCTGGGCGTGGTGGGGCGCGCCTGTAATCCCACCTACTGGAAGAGACTGAGTCAGGAGAATCGCTTGAACCTGAAAGACGGAGGTTGCACTAAGTCCAGATCGTGCCACTGCACTCCAGCCTGGGAGACAGAGCGGGACTCCATCTCAAAACAAAGAAACAAAGAAACAAACAAACAAACATATTATACTTTCCATTTTCACTCCCTGGGTCTCCGTACCACCCAAGGTGGATGTGTGAGCACAAGACTGGTAAAAGGAAGAAAATAGAAAAAAAGAACTACCTCGCTCAGGATGTCTTTTTTCGGAAGCTATAAGCCCACTACCGTGTTAAAGTGTCCACTAATCTTCTGTTCCTTTATGACATGCCATTGAAGAGCAAGCCAGAAAAAGAAAATCCGAAAAAAGAGAAAAGGAAATGCCTACATAATTTCATTTTGAATTCCTTAGTTTTCTGAGCAGTGTTTTATACGGTGACCAAGCATGGGAGTATCTTCCTCATTTGACCTATTCCTCGCCTTTTCTTTCCCATCTTTTGCTGGGGAAAATTGGATCCTATTTCACACATAAATTGCAGCAGAACTTATATTTCTTGGGTGGAGGGGAGGTGAGTGAATGACGGGTGATATTGAAGACAACAGAATTAGGCGTTGGAAGATACACTGACCCTACAAATGGCAGTTTCTGTATTTTGAAGAAATGACAAAAGCAGTAGGATCACGGTGGCCGAGATAGCTCAGTTGGGAGAGCGTTAGACTGAAGATCTAAAGATCCCTGGTTCAATCCCGGGTTTCGGCAGTTGCATTTTGGTTTTAGCATAATTGTCACTCCTTCAACACAGCGCTTGCGCACCAATCCCAGAGGTCTATATATAACTCCAGGTGTTTGTGGTTTTTTTGTTTCTTTTTTCTTTTTTCTTTTTTTTGGCTGTTTTCTGAAAATTCCATAAAGGTAATGTATACACACACACACACACACACACACACACACACACACATCTATATATATATATTTACACACAAACACATATATATATATATATTTGTAACACTCTCTCCACTGAAGACTTCCATGAAGTGTTAACTGACAGGACGTAAATTATTTAAAGTCTTAAACCTAGCAAGTTATTACTTTTAAAACCTAAGAAATTCCAATATGCTATATGCTGTGGCACTTACAATTCATTTCTGATCTGATGTTATTTATGTGTGTTGGGCGGGGGTGTTTTTAAATCACAAGAAATGTGAAGAAACCTGTAGAAGAAGAACTATTATACTGTATGAGTGTATATATGTGGTGGTGGTATATTCAAGAAACATTTTGCAATTAGAAAAAACCGGGTTTGTACCTTGAGTCAACTCCATAGCTCCGCAGTTAAACTGCTGGAAAAATAACTTTTGCTTTGTTTTGTTTTTCTGAGGCAGGGTCTCACTCTGTCACCCATGCTGGAATGCAGTGGTATGATCACAGCTCACTGCAGCCTCAGCCTCCCTGGACTCAAGCGATCCTCCTATGTCAACCTCCTGAGTAGCTGAGACTACAGAAATGCAACAACAAGCCTGGCTTTTTGTTTGTTTGTTTGTTTTTTGGTTTTGTTTTTTTTTTAATTTTTTTGGTAGAGACTGGGTTTCACCATGTTGCCCTGGCTCTTCTGGAAATCCTGGCTCACCTCTGCCTCTCACCATGCTGGGATTACAGGCTTGAGCCACCACACCAGGCCTAATTACAGGAATATTCTAAGTTTTCTTACTGACAGGAAGCCTGGCACCCTTGTCCAGAATTTCCAAATCTTAACTAATTTCTGTGTTGGAATCCAGGAAAGAACAAAAACAAGTACTTGTATATGAATTATTCTGTCAGACATTCATGAGGGGCCTTAGAATACTGAAAATGAAAGCAAATGGGCAGCAAAGTCATCAAGATTCAGGTGCATGTGCCTCATTTTCCCTTTTCCACTTCAACTTCTCTGTTGAAATACTGTGTTGGGGGGTAATGGGTCTTTTTTTTCCCTCCTTTTTTCTTTCAAATTGCTGTTTCATTTTGAGAGTTATTTTCCCCTAACTCCTGCATACTGTGTGAGGAGACTAAACAATCTACAGTACTTCAACATCAGAACTGCAGCAAGTTGAAAAAGGAAAATTAGTACCAAATGAGAAGAAACCTCAGGGTGAGGACACTGACTCTACAGAAACTGTAAATCAGATACTTTATCCTTTAGGTCACTGAGGCTTTCTCAACTCAGAAGCTTGTGTTTCATTTCATTAAGAAATATTTGATTAGTCAAATGGTAGCACTGAATGTTTTCTTGCCTAACACGGTAATGATTCCTTTACATTCTGTTGAAAGGGAAGGTCTAGGGTAATTCCAAGCATGATTTGTCTTCTATTCAATAGCTTAAAAATGTAGCTAATAATAATTATGTTAAATTGGATGTTGTAAAGATCTAAGGAGATTATGCATAGAAATGCATTCTGTCGAGAACACTCAAGGCATGAAACTTAATTACTGGGAGACCATGCTCCATGTTCTCTGGCTCTGGGAATCTCCCAGAACAGCATTTAAAGAGATAACATCATCTCTAGACAATGCTGTCCAATTAAAAGATAATACAAGTCTTCTACTTTATCTTCCGGAATAAAAATAATTAAAAAAACACAAGTCATAAATGCGAGTCACTTTTGTAGTTCTAAATTTTCTAGTAGTCACATTAAAAAAAACAGGCAATATTTATTCTATATCTTTTTTTTTTTTTTTTTTTTTTTTTTTGTAGATGGAGTTTCGCTCTTGTTGCCCAGGCTGGAGTGCAATGGCGCGATCTCGGCTCACCGCAACCTCTGCCTCCAGGGTTCAAGCGATTCTCCTGCCGCCTCAGCTTCCCGAGTAGCTGGGATTACAGGCACGCGCCACCACCCCAGCTAATTTTTTTTTTGTGTGTGTGACGGAGTCTCGCTCTGTCGCCCAGGCTGGAGTGCAGTGGCGCGCGCTGCAAGCTCCGCCTCCCGGGTTCACGCCATTCTCCTGCCTCAGCCTCCCGAGTAGCTGGGACTACAGGCGCCTGCCACCACGCCTGGCTAATTTTTTGTATTTTTTAGTAGAATTGGGGTTTCACCGTGTTAACCAGGATGGTCTCGATCTCCTGACCCCGTGATACGCCCGCCTCGGCCTCCCAAAGTGCTGGGATTACATGCGTGAGACCCCGCGCCCGGCCCCAATTTTGTACTTTTAGTAGATACGAGGTTTCTCCATGTTGGTCAGGCTGGTCTTGAACTCCCGATCTCAGGTGATCCGCCCACCTCGGTCTCCCAAAGTGCTGGTATTACAGGCGTGAGCCACCGAGCCCGGTCTCTATATTATTTTAAAAATAATTTCAACTTTTATGTTAGATTCAGGGGGTACATGTGCAGGATTCTTACATGGGTATATTGCATGATGCTGGGGTTGGGGTGGGATTAATCCTGTCACCCGGGTAGTGAGCATAGTATCCAATAGTTAGCTTTTCAAGCCTTTCCCCTTCCCAGCTACTCCCTAGTAGTCCCCGATGTTTACTGTTTCCGTCTTTTATGTCCAGTTTTAATAATATACGTAAATGGCCTTGTATAACAACATTATTTTAAGTAATCCATCTTAAAATTATAAGTGAGTTATTTTATATTAAAAATGATATTGCATCTTTGAAATCTGGTATATATTTTATACTTACAACACATCTTACCTTGGACTGGGCAATTTCAAGCATTCAATAGCCAATGTGGCTAATGGTAACCATATTGGAAAGTGCAGATTTAAACAGGTACTTTATATATTTTTAGGTTTTCAGAACTGAGTATGTATGACGTGAGGGTGTTCTGTCTTCAAAATTAAATGTTTAATTCCTCAGAAGAATGCTGTGATAAATAAGCTCATCCTACACATTATACGCAAAAAAAAAAGTGTTTCAATCATGTTGTTGGTAGATAGCCTGAAGATAGATATGGATATTTAATTATTTTAAATTCCCCCCTTTCATGTGGCAAACAAAAAAGCATATCTTCTTATTATGAATTCCCAAGAATCTGATAGACAGCCAGGTTTCTCTGGCTGTGACATGACATAAGGATGAAGGAGTGTTTCTGCAAACTGTCCTAATATTGCTTTTACAGCATCAAAGAGTCAAGATAATCCTCCCAAGCATTTACATGCACACACAAACAGACACAGACAGGCAGACACGCACACACATGAATACATATGAATTTTGTGTGTAACGCTTCTCTAGTCTCTCATTCAGTGAAACCTATTACTCAGTTTCCTATTTTTATTCTAGAAATCCCGTCAGCCAACTGAAAAGCCAAGTCTGCCATACAACTTGCAATCTGCCAATTTTAAAATGGATCAATGTTATTTTATTAACATTGGCAAAGGCTCATATATGGGCAAACCAGAATGAGAAAGAGTTAATCGTCACCAGAAATTTGGTTCCGAGAAATGGGTTTTCTTCTCATCTTCTTATATAGTTCAAAGAATCCAGTCTCACCGTGATAAGTCCCAAGATTCGAGAACTAGTTAGAAGAAAACTTGTTTGTTGCCTACAAATATCACGAATAGGTTTGTAATTTCCATATCTCAAAGTACACTTTTTAGTCTTTATCCACCTCCATGTAATGTGTCTACTACTACTAATGCTTACAAACCCCAGGCTGGAGACGGAGTTAATTGCCTGAGTTCTCTGTGTAATATCCTCACAGGCGTGCCCCACAGATATTTTAAATTTAGCATGAGCCAAACTAACTCATCTTCTCCATCTTTCAATCTTTCTCCCATTCCTGAAAGAGTTGTTAAAACCTCCCCTTTTCTGTGCCTGCTTGTCTTTGGCAATAGCATGTTTGTTTTTCTGAACTACTCTTCAATCCTGTTTCTATTTATCTTTCGTCTTACTCTCATAATTCAACCCTCATCTCCACCCCCAAAGCTGGTTTTCATTTATGCCTTATGAATTCCCTCCCCTCACCTCCCGTCTTCTTCTCTCTCTCTCTCCTTTCCTTCCTTCCCTTCCTCCCTCTTTCTCCTTCCTTCCTTCCTTTCTCCCTTCCTTCCCCCCTTCCTTCCCTCTTTCCCTCCCTCCGTCCCTCACTCCCACTTTCTCTTGCTTGCTTGCTTGCTTGCTTTTCTCACTCCATTGTCCGGGCTCGAGGGTAGTGGTGCAATCATAGCTCCCTACAATCGCTAACTCCCAAGTTCAAGCGATCCTCGTGCCTCAGCCTCTGGAGTTGTGAGTACAGGAGTAAGACACCACGCCAGCTAAGGACCCCTGTGAAAAAATGTTGAGTGCACCGCTCTCAGGTTTTCTTCTGATCATGGCTTTCCTCTATCAAATCTTACCTTTGATATTCCGACTGAGCAAACAACAATTATGAAGCGTTTTAGGCAGGAAAAGGCTGAATTTCAATGGCTTTGTGTTATATCTGGAAGAAATCAAAAGAAACGAAAATCAGAACTTGATTCTTGCCAAGCATAATAGAAGCAGACCCTAAGAACTCAACGTCTTCAGGCCACAAAGGAAACTTCTTGTGGTTATTATCTGACACTTTTCTAATCTTTCGTTTTTCGTTTCAAGTCCTACACAGTATTCTAAAGAATCTGTATCCCCCATTAGTACCAAGTATCTCCTGCTCAGAGTAGCTCTCCACGCTCTATGGTACTGACCACTATTACCAGCATGCTCACGGAGTCTCAGAAAATGAAAGTTACCTCCTGAAAATTATTACAAATGGGTGTTATAGTAAGGGGGTGTAGCTCAGTGGTAGAGCGCATGCTTTGCATGTATGAGGCCTCGGTTCGATCCCCGACACCTCCAAGTGATGGTTTCCCTCTGGCAGTTCTCAAGCGACAGACCTCTGCCTCCTCACATTTTTCTATTCTATTTCTGCACATATAGTAAGTAAAAATGTACTCCAATGCATTGCCTTGAACTATCTCCAACCTCTATGCTGTGAGCCTCAACATCACATAAGGCGATTGCGACAGCAGAAGGAAGACAAAAAAGTAACGAGGGGGAAAGAACAGGATCGCAACAGTGGTCTCCTGACCCAAACAAAAGCATGAACATTCACAGGCGGCTTGCGTTCGCTCCCATTTTGTTTTGTTTTGTTTTGTTTTTGTTTGTTTGTTTTGTTTTTTGAGACGGAGTTTTGCTCTCGTTGCCCAGGCTAGAGTGCAGTCGCACCACCTCGGCTCACTGCAACCTCCGCCTTCCGGTTTCAAGAGATTCTCCTGCCTCAGCCTCCCAAGTAGCTGGGATTACAGGCGCCCGCCACCACGCCCAGCTAATTTTTTTGTATTTTTAGTAGAGACGGGGTTTCACCATGTTAGTCAGGCTGGTCTTGAACTGCCGACCTCGTGAGCCACCCGCCTCGGCCTCCCAAAGTGCTGGGATTACAGGCGTGAGCCACCGCGCCCGGCCTTCCATTTTGTACTATGATTAAAGAGACGCAAAGACCAAGAAGAGAGAAAAATGCCAGTGGGCATCTTTTTTTTTTTAAGTTATTTTTGTTTTCTGGGCCAAAGAACAGAGCGAAAGCATCTGTCCACTCATTTCTACACCAGTCTCTCCCTGTCAACCTACATAGGGACATAAGTGCGATCCAATACTGAGACAAGGACTGCTGTGGCTCTCTAGCCACTTGAGATAGGAGTGGCAGGACGCTGGACGGCCAAACGAAGACTGTCCGGGAATTAGAGGCCTTCAACATGCAAGAAGCAAAAACTAATACGGATCAACATTCCCTACTGATATTCCATAAGACTGATTCATATTCATATTCCTGCATTTCCTCAGTCACTGTAATATTGCCTGGGAACTTCTGGTAACAGCAAACAGAGGCCCATAAGAAAAAACCAGGGAAAGGTTTTCTGTCACAATGGAAAATACATGCAGAGTAAAAGGTAAGTAGATCGCAATTGTGTGGGCGCTTTCTGCCTTGGAAAAAACCAAACAAACATTTCATGTTCTTTCTCGATCCATCTGATTACAACTGCTTTTTTTGAAAAGGGAACTCCCAAGAAATTCTATGCACTCATGGTACCTGTTAAAGGTTTCCAATGGTATACAGTTTCAAAACTGCTGTTCTCTCTGTACATATTTATTTATTTATTGTTGAATTAAAGTGTCTTTGAGAGACAAGAAACTACAATGTTTATTCCCAGTCCACCAGCCTAACACTCTATCAGGCTGGCATGTCTTTACTTCTTGATTCTTTTGTCCAGTGAAAGTATCTATAACTAGCATCCAGGAGGGATACGGTCTAGTGAAACCTGCTTAGCTGAGGACTGGCTGTGTGTGTGCCCCCAGGCCAATCACATGTTTGTTTTGAGATACATTTTTTGGAGGAAGGTAATACCCACGTGTCATGTATTTTCTTTGTGTTTCATACTTTTTCTTTTTTAATTTCCTGGCATCTATTGGTTCTCTCCAGGCAAACAGCGGCATGTCAGCCACAGCGGACACTGCACAGGAGAGCAAGGGGTGGGGAATTAGGGTGCTGCAAGCAGAATGCTAAATTCCAGGCCTAACCTCAGATCTATTGAATCAGAACTGCTGAGCATGGGGCTCAGCCTCTTGTGTTTGAATAAGCCCTCAAGTGACTCTGATGCTAAAGTTTGAGAAGCACTGTTCTAGAAGTTTAAGAAGGAGGTCCCAGGATCAGGTGGCTGCTGAGGGGGAAGATTTTTTCCTGGGGTTCCTTGCCTATTCTCAATCAAAAACTTAAACCACGTAGGACAGCCAGTGGGGTTTGTAGTTGCATTATGTCAGGGGTGGGGTTGGATTTACCATTTCTTTTTTGTTTGTTTTTGTTTTGTTTTGTTCTGTTTTTGTGAGAGGGAGTCTTGCTCTGTCACCCAGGCTGAAGTGCAGTGGTGCAATCTTGGCTCACTGCAACCTCCGCCTATTGAGTTCAAGCGATTCTCCTGCCTCAGTCTCCTGAGTAGCTGGGATCACAGGCGCCTGCCACCATGCCCAGCTAATTTTTGTTTTTTAGTAGAGACGGGGTTTTGACATATTGGTCAGGCTGGTCTCAAACTCCTGACCTCAAGTGATCTACCCACCTCGGCCTCCCAAAGTGCTGGGATTACAGGCGTGGGCCACCATTCCCAGCCTCCTTCATCCTTTTGATGTCAGCTGAGTCTACAGTGATGTCCTCTTTTTATTCCTGATGTTGGTAAACTGTGTCATCTCTCTGCTGAAAATTTCTATCTTGCTAGAGTTCTTCTTTTATTGATCCTTGAAAGGAACTAGCTTTTTGTTTGTTTTTCTATTTTTGTGTGTGTGTGTGTGCGTGTGTTCCATTTCACTGATTTCTGCTTTTATTTTTTATTATTTCCTTTCTTCTATTTGCTTTGGGTTATTTTGCTCTTTTTCCCACCTGATTTCTACAAGTAAGAGCTTAGAGGACTGATTTGGGACTTTTTTCTTTTCTAATGTATGCACTTAGTGCTGTATATTTCTCTCTCAGCACTCCTTTAGGATATCTTGGAATTTTTAATATATTGTATTTTCATTTTTATTCATGCTACCTTATTTTTTGATATCTACTAAGGTTTTCTCTTTGTTGTATGAACTGTTTAGTAGTGTGTTGTTCATTTTCCAAGCGTTTGGACATTTTTCTGTCTTTTTGTGACTGATTTTTACTTTAATTTCATTTTGGTCAGGGATTATACCATATTAGTTAATTCTTTTAAATTTGTTGAGGTTTGTTTTATGGCCCAGGATATGTTTTACCTTTACCTATATTCAGTGTGGATTTGACTAGTGTGTTCTGCTCTTCCTGTGTGGACTGTTTTATAAATGTTAACTGAATTCTGGTGGCTGAAGATGTTTGAGTTCTTCAACACTCTTTTTTTTTTTTGAAGCAGAGTCTTGCTCTGTTGCCCAGGCTGGAGTGCAGTGGCGCGATCTCGGCTCACTGCAAGCTCAGCCTCCCGGGTTCACGCCATTCTCCTGCCTCAGCCTCCAGAGTAGCTGGGACTACAGGCACCCGCCACCACGCCCGGCTAATTTTTTTGTATTTTTTAGTAGAGATGGGGTTTCACCGTGTTAGCCAGGGTGGTCTTGATCTCCTGACCTCATGATTCGCCCGCCTCGGCCTCCCAAAGTGCTGGGATTACAGGTGTGAGCCACCACGCCCGGCCTAGTTCTTCAACATTCTTGCTGATTTTCTGTTTAGTTGTTCTATCAATCATTATGAGAGAAGTTTTGAAGTCTCCAAAGTAATTGTGGATTTGTCTATTTTTTTTTAAAGTTCTGTTTTTTTATCTTTACATATGTTGCAGCTCTCCTGTTTGGTGGATACATATTTAGGATTGTTATGTCTTCTATTTCTTTCCCTGCCTCCCTCTCTTCTTTCTTTTTCTTCTTTATTTAACCAAGAAAGAACAAATTTACTATTACTTTCCCTACCAAAGCAGTCTCTCATCACCTCCTGACTCTGAGAATTAAATTCTGTTTCCTTCAGATGTCCTTAGTTGATTGACTCCCAAACAGGGAGTGTGAACAGGAAAATAGAATAAAACACCTGTTAGATTTGAATACAAATTGAGAAATTTGTATCTTTGTTTCTGCCTGGAAACATTTAAAATGGAATGGGAACCACATGAGAAGCACATATTGTCCACATCTTGGGATCATTTCAGACCATCTTGCCTCTTCAACCAAACAATCAGCAACAATGGAATATATATATATATATACTCCATATATATATATATATACTCCATATATATATATATACTCCATATATATATACATATATACTCCATATATATATATACTCCATATATATATACATATATACTCCATATATATATATACTCCATATATATATATATACTCCATATATATATATATACTCCATATATATATATACTCCATATATATATATATACTCCATATATATATATATACTCCATATATATATATACTCCATATATATATATACTCCATATATATATATATATATATACTCCATATATATATATATATATATATATATATACACTCCATATATATATATGGAGAGAGACACAGAGAGAGATCTCAAAGATTATTTCTCTAAACTATTTGATGATTTTCAGACATTATATCTTTTTAATCCCTAAATTCATCAATGTGTATTTCTTAAAACAAGATCAGTTCCTTAACACAGCACAATTATCAAATTCAGTAAACTTAACATTGATAAAATAGCATTATCTAATATACAATCTATAAAAATTTAACTAATTGTATCAATACAATCTTTTATAGAAATTTCTCTCCCAAGCTAGGATCCATTTCACAGACACATATGAATCTAATTGTCTTGACTCTTTAGTCTCCTTTAATTTAGAACAGTTGCTCAATTGTGTCTTTCACAACTTTGATAATGTTTTTGAAGAGTATATGCCAGTGGTTTGTGGAATATTTCTTAATTTGTCCTACTCATGGTAAGATTAAGTTTATGGAAATTGGAAGAAATGTCACAAAAAATCATATTATCCTCTATCACACCAAGAAGCATGTGATGCCAATTTTCCCCATTATTAGTGAAGTTAGCTTTCATCATTTGGTTAAGTTTGTAACTACTATTTCTTCCCTGCAAAAGTATCATCTTCCTCATTGTAATCAATAAGTAAGCTCTAGAGAAATACTCTGAGACTATATAAATATCCTGATCCTCATCAAAATTTTACCTATACTTTTAGCATTGACTTATAATTTTGCCTGCACCTATCAGCATTCTGATGGTGTCCAGATTTTCTAATTTTCTAATGGGGATTTGCAAATTTTATCCTTCTTTCCACATTTATTAGCTGGCATACCACTGTAAAGAAAATCTTCCCATCTTCCATATTTATTTATTTATTTGAGACAGAGTCTCGCTTTGTCGCCCAGGCTGTAGTGCAGTGGCATGAGTCCTGGAGTCAGTGTAGTTGACACTAGTAGCTACTTTCTATTAGTATCTCTGGTGCCTTTTAGTAGGGAATGGTATTTGTGAATCAAAATATTGTTATCTTTGCTTATTGTTTCTGAGGTATTTCTTCCAGGCCCAGTTAGCAGACAGATCTGCAGGGAAATTTTACTTTTTTTTTTTTTTGAGACAAAGTCTAAGTCACCCAGGCCAGAGTGCGGTGGCAGGATCTTGGCTCACTGCAACGTC
Organism: Homo sapiens; assembly: GCF_000001405.40. Taxonomy (NCBI): domain Eukaryota; kingdom Metazoa; phylum Chordata; class Mammalia; order Primates; family Hominidae; genus Homo; species Homo sapiens. The sequence goes on along the minus strand of NT_167246.2, from coordinate 63,026 downwards.
TGCCTCCTGAGTTCAAGCGATTCTCCTGCCTCAGACTTCCGAGTAGCTGGGACTACAGGCACGCACAACCACATCCGGCTAATTTTTGTATTTTTAGTAGAGACGGGGGTTTCACCATGTTGGCCAGGCTGTTCTCGAACTCCTGACCTCAAGTGAGCTGCCCGTCTTGGCCTGCCAAAGTGTTGAGATTACAAACGTGAGCCACTGCGCCCAGCCTATAAAATTACATATGTATAATTTCATACTGACGCCTCCAATTCTCATCAACACCAACAGGACTATTCTTTACCTTCTTTCTCTTACAGTGACAGCCTGGTTCCAACACACCCGGTCACACACACTCATTTTCCCAATCCTAAAATTCACACAAAATCTCAGAATTCTTACAGCCCTAGCTCTACAAAAATAACCCTGATACAGAGTTCAAGATTTGTTTGCAATTCTTTTTAATCTTACAATTAGAACAACAAACTGTATAAACCATTTTCATAGATCAGTTCTTTCCTTTTCAAGTAGGAGTATGTTATTGTTTCACAATGCAATTTTACACTTGATCTTAGCCAAAAGGCCGAGAAGCGATAGACAACGCCATTTGAATTTGCCTCTATTCGTATTGAATTTTAAGGTATTTTCACACGCACTTGAGTCAGTTTTATTTTTTGACTATGTGAAACACCAACATGCTTCCAAGAGTCAAAAGAATACAGAAAGTTATAATCAGAAAATTTGCAAGAGAATGTTGTATACCGGGACACACTCAAATGATAGAATGCAAGTATGCTCCAGGAAGTCTAACGTGATGGAGAGTCCACCTTGGGGTGAGTTGATCTTGGGTTGACCACAAATCAGGAACAGTGCCTTTATTTTTACCACTAAGCTACTTTCCTTTCTTTTCTCTTTCTTTCTTTCTCTTTATTTCTCTCTTTCTTTCTTTGTTTCTGTCTCTCTCTCTCTCTCTCTCTCTCTTTCTTCTTTCTTTCTTTTTTTGAGACGGAGTCTCGCTCTGTCGCTCAAGCTGGAGTGCAGTGGCCCGATCTCGGCTCACTGCAACCTCTGCCTCCCGGGTTCAAGCAATTCTCTACTTCAGAGTAGCTGGGATTACAGGCGCCTGTCACCACGCCCGGCTAATTTTTCTATTTTTAGTAGAGACAGGGTTTCACTATCTTGCCCAGGCTGGTCTTGAACTCCTGACCTCGTGATCCACCCGCCTCAGCCTCCCAAAGTGCTGGGATTACAGGCATAAGCCACTGCACCCGGCTAAGCTACTCTTCTTTTGGCCCAGCCGTGCCTAAAAGAGGAAGCGCTTCATGTAGGGAATTAACAATGGAATTGGAAACATATAGTGATTATCCTGACACAGAGGGCAGGCTCACATATTGGCCGTCACCAAAGCGTTTTCCGAAGGCCCTGAGTCCAGAGGGGGTATAGCTCAGTGGTAGAGCGCGTGCTTAGCATGCACGAGGTCCTGGGTTCGATCCCCAGTACCTCCAGGCCGTGTTTTCTTCCCCGGGACACCAGTAAGAAGCGGTCCATGATATTCCCCAACTTTAAATTTTTCTGTCTGTCAAGGTGAATTGTGTTGGCCTCTGCATTTCTCTCTCATACAGAGGGTGATGCGTGTTCATTCACTTGAGGTTATTTGCTGCCTAGGATTATCCGCCTATTCTTTCTAAGCAGTCCCATCAATCATTAACATGGACCACGCACGGGGGAAGCAAGTAGTATTCCTGGCCATCCAGCCAATTTCTAGCTGTAAATGAAATCATCAGAAACCATAGACCTGTGTGGCCCAAGTCTGATTTCAGATCAGAAGCTAAAAGGCTCAAGTCTTTTTCTGTTTCTTTTTCTAACTCCTCCTAACCAGGTTGCAGAAGCCCTACAAGCTTTCACTAAAAGATTACACTGCCAGGGGTTGATGGTTTGATGTGTGGTGGTAACCTTTTCCATTGGAGACCCACAAACTCTGAAACTTAAACTACTTAACTACAAACACACAACAAATGACGAAAAGACAGCATTCACCTCAGCTGAAATTTGGTGGAAGTAAAAAGCACTTCTCTGGGTCCTCTGAGGAAGCTTCTGGTCTGAGATGCAAACACTCTGAACTCCAGGGACCAAGATCAGTATAGGAGAAAGCTCATTTTGCTGTTTTACATAAATAAAAGTAATGAACGTTTATTTTTCCAATCCCAAAGGATCCTTTTGTACCTCACAGTACTTACTCTCCAGGATTGACCTCCTTCTAAGCTAGGGAACAACCCATACCTCCAGATTAGAGCTCTTTGTGGTATCACAGTGCCAAGCAGAAATCCACAGAGAAATACTCTGCAAGCATCTTAATACTATCTTGTTAAAAGAAAATCTGCTTTTATTTTCAGCTCTATTTCATGCCAACAAAGGAAATAAAAAATAAGTTACTAAACATCCAGAAGGCAGAAAAGCGACCTCTCTCCATCTGCAGAAGCCAAGCAAACTTGTGGGCTTCCCTATGCATCCTTTCTTTTACTCACTTTCTAAACGCTGTAACGGCCACTATCTATCAGGTGGTCACAAGCCATCGCTAAAGTCAATCTGAGGTCAACCCACTCGACTTGTGAGGGATTCAGCTATACTGCCTCTGCGCCTCTAATAGGACTAAGGAGGCGGTGGTTGCACAAGTAGTTAACACCGATTGTACCGTGACTCCGCCTTTCCGCAGCCGCTCTCCAGCTCTTTAGAGTCCTTTTGAGTCAAGCTGGACGTGAGACATACAGGAGATCGTTGCAAACGCCAGGAGGAGTTTCTTCAGGGTGAAGTTAACTTTCAATCGGCTTCATTCTAAGAGAAATATGTGGAGCAAACAAACGGAAACTTTCTTTCTCATCTTTTGCATTTCAAGCAAAAACTAATAAAATTAGATGTTTCCACCGTCATGCTCAGTTTCGAAGCTGCCAGCAGATCCCGCTTCTAACTTTTAACACAGGCACGCAGGAAATCGGGAAATCCCTGCAGCTCCCTCAGAAGCTACAGTATCAGCGGTTCCTGAAGGGCAAACCAAAACCCAGTATCACTCTCTCCTCCAAAGAGTTCAGCCGGTCTGCTGAGCGACGGAAATAGCGGAGAGGCGCTCTTGAAGCCGAAACGAACCAGGTCCCCTTCCTGGTCGAGTCTTCCTCCCTAAGGACAAAAAAAGTACCTTTCTTCCCTCATATCCAGAGGAAGCGACGGAGGGATGTGGCGCTTAGACTCACTGTACCATCCCGTCCATCCAAGTCCTAATAATCATGAGGATGCGACAGAGCGAGACTCCGTCTCAACAAAACAAAACAAAACAACCCTAAGGAAGAGAGAGAATGTACTGGAGGATAGGAAGTACTTAGGAAAACCTTTTTTTTTCTTGTATTTAAATTTAAGCCTTCATTTATATAAAATAAAACACATGAAACCTATTCAGCTTACGGCTTATTATATATAACCAAAATTCAGGCCAAGATACTGAATTTTTCAGCAACCAACAGCTGCCTTTTGCCTCATTTCAATTATCCTAACTCTCTGACCTCCACCTCCATAGATTATTTTTCTTATGTTTTAAATAATATAAATGGGATCATATAATATCATCGTAGTCTATTTTGGGCTGCTACAAAATCACTCAAGACTGGTAATTTGTAACGAACAGAACCCTTCCCTTCCCTTCCCTTCCCTTCCCTTCACTTCCTGACAGAGTTTCACTCTTGTTGCCCAGGTTGGAGTGCAGTGGCTCAGTCTTGGCTCACTGCAACCTCTGCCTCCCGGATTCAAGCAATTCTCCTGTCTCAGCTTCCTGGGTAGCTGGGATTACAGGCGAATGCTACCACGCCCAGCTAATTTTTCTGTATTTTTAGTAGAGATGGGGTTTCACCATGTTTGCCAGGCTGGTCTCGAACTCCTGACCTCAGGTGATCCATCCACCTTGGCCTCCCAAAACCCTGGGATTACAGGAGACAGCCACTGCACCAGGCCCAGAAACATTTTCTCACAGTTCTGGAGGCTGGGAAGTTCAAGATCAAGTCACTGGCTCTCATGTCTGGTGATGGCCTTTTTGTTGTGTTCTCACATGGCAGAAAACTGAAGGCAATAGAGAGATGAACTTCCTTTGTCAACTCTTATTATAAGGGTACCTAATATTATTCATGAGGAAGGAACCCTCATGGCTTAATCTTCTTAAAGGCCCTATGTCTTGATAATTATCACATGGTGACACCTAAGCTTTGGAGGGGACACTTTCAAACCACAGCAAATCTGTACTCATTTGAGTATGGATTCTTTCACTTAATTTTTGTTAAAAAAATTAGATTCATTTTCTTTTCTTTTTTCTTCTTTTTTTTTTTTTCAAGGTGGAGACTTGCTCTGTCGCCCAGGCTGGAGTGCAGTGGCGCGATCTTGGCTTACTGCAAGCTCTGCCTACCAGGTTCACGCCATTCTCCTGCCTCAGCCTCCCGAGTAGCTGGGACTACAGGTGCCATCCACCACGCCCAGCTAATTTTTTGTATTTTTAGTAGAGACAGGGTTTCACTGTTTTAGCCAGGATGGTCTCGATCTCCTGACTTCGTGATCTGCCCGCCTCAGCTTTCCAAAGTGCTGGGATTACAGGCGTGAGCCTCCGTGCCCAGCCTTCATTTTCTATATATTGTTGCTAGTAACAGTAGTTATTTTCTGTTGCTCTCGAGTATTCTATTGTCTGAATACTGTACATCATGATTTATTAATTCATTTTACTGTCCAAGTACATTTGCAGCACCCCTCGTTTTTGGTTGAAATGTCTAATGCTGCTGTAAACATTCTGATACATGTCCTTCAAGGGAGATGCTCATGCACTTCTCTTGGGTATAAATGTAACCGTCTAGTTTTGGGGTCATAGCATATATATATATATATATATATATATATATATATATATATATATTTAGTTGATATTTTCAGATAGTTTCCCAGTGTAGATATAGCAGTTTACAGTCTCATCAGCCATGTATGCACGTTCCAATTGCTTCACATACTCAGCAACACTTGATATTATCCACTTTTTGGGTTAAATGATTCCAATGAAGAGCAATATTATTTTGTGTTTTTTTTTTCGACAGTGTCTTGCTGTGCTGCCCAGGCTGGAGTGCAGCGGCACAATCTTGGCTCACTGTAGCCTTTGCCTCCCAGGATCAAGAGATTCTCATGCCTCAGCCTCCTGAGTAGTTGGGACTACAGGGGCATGTGGCCGTCTAAATTTTTGTATTTGTAGTAGAGACCGGGTTTCGCCATGTTGGCCAGCTGGTCTTGAACTCCTAACCTCAAGTGATCCACCCGCCTCGACCTCCCAAACTGCTGGGAGTATAGGCGTGAGCCACTGTGTCCAGCATTGTTGTGTTTTTAATTTGCATTTCCTTTATAGCAAAAGATGTCGAGCATATTTTATTTTACTCAATAGCGATTTTTTGTGAAGTTCATATTAATTTGCTCTTTCTTATTGAAGTTTTAGTCTTTTTCTTAGTGCTTTGTAGAAGTTCTTAACATATTCCAGATAAAGATCCTTAGTAAAATATAAGTATTGGAATATCTTCTCCTAGACTGTGGCTCATCATCTTTTCTTAAGGAGGATGGGGCTTGAAAAACTTTGTAAGCAGATGAAAGAGAAGAAATGGAGACAGACAGGTTGAAGACCCCAGAGGAAGTTCCATCTGGACATCTTACCTGTTGGCTGTGGGAGAAAATGCCCCCAGGCAGTTTGCTGGAGAGGAAACCTCAGAATAAACTGATGGGATGAAATGTTCCAAAAGCAGAAACTGTGTTCTGGTCTGTGATTCTCTTACATTTCTCCTAGCAGCTTCAGGGGATATAGTTTAGAGGTAAGAAATAGTGAGATATGAGACAGTGGATTTTCTATCCGGCCAACTTACCATATTTTTGAAGACCTCTCAGAAATATGACTAATGCGTCAAAAAAGATCTTCACGATGTTTCTGTAGCGAGAGAGGTGTGGCTCAGTGGTAGTGTGTCCTTGCCTTGCACAGAGTTCAAAAGCATACATGTTCATCTGTTTTTCACAATTCTCGCCACTCTGTACTTTTCTCCTTTTAAAAACATGCCTTGCGTGGTCACACTAAAATAAACATATTATACTTTCCATTTCCACTCCCTGGGTCTCTGTACCACCCAAGGTGGATGTGTCAGCACAAGACGAGTGAAAGGAAGGGAATAGCGAAAATGAATTTTCTCGCTCAGGATTTCCTTAGTCAGAAGCTATAAACCTGCCACCACATTAACGTGCCCAATAATCCTCTGTTCCTTTTTGCCATATCGTTGAAGAGCAAGACAGAAAAACAAGAGCCCAGAGAAAAGGAAAAGCCTAGAAAATTTTCTTTTGAATTCCCTTGGTATTCTGAGCAGTGACCATGTAGGGGAGCATGTTCTTACTTTGCTCTATTCTTCATTTTTGCCTTTTCTTTCCCTGGCTTTTGCTAACCCATTCATTGTCCTTAAAATTGGGTCCTGTTTTCAGACATAAATTGGGGAAGAATCTATATTTTGGGGGTGAAGGGGTGAGTGAATGACAGGTGATATTGAAGACAACAGAATTGGAAGATATACTGACCCTACAAATGAGTTTTTATATTTTGAAGAAACACCTAAAACAACAAATTCGGGAAGCCGAAATAGCTCAGTTGGGAGAGCGTTAGACTGAAGATCTAAAGGTCCCTGGTTCGATCCCGGGTTTCGGCAGGGTTTTTTTTTTTCTTTCTTTCTTTCAGTTTTGCCTAATAGAACCCTTATTTTGTTTATTTATTTATTTTTTGACGGAGTTTCACTCTTGTTGCCCAGGCTGAGTGCAATGGAGCGAACTCGGCTCACCGCAACCTCCGCCTCCTGAGTTCAAGCGATTCTCCTGCCTCAGCCTCCCGAGTAGCTGGGATTACAGGCATGCGCCACCACGCCTGGCTAATTTTGTATTTTTAGTAGAGACGGAGTTTCTCCATGTTGGTCAGGCTGGTCTCGAACTCCCGACCTCAGGTGATCGGCCCGCCTCGGCCTCCCAAAGTGCTGGGATTACAGGCGTAAGACACAGCGCTCGGCTGATACAACCCTTATACAACACTTGCATGCCAATCCCAGAAAGGTGTATAGAACTCCAATTTTTTGCTGTTGAAAATCCGATAAAGGTAATACACACACACACACACACACACACACACACGCATATATATATATATGCATCACTCTCTGCTTTGGTTGCATATTCCAGTGAAGTCTTCCATGAAGCGCTGACATTAAATAAATTATTTACAGTCTGAAACCTAGGAAGTGATTTTTTTTTTTTTTGAGATTGAGTTTCGCTCCGATGCCCAGGCTGGAGTGCAGTGGCGCGATGTCGGCTCAGTGCAATCTCCGCCTCCCGGGTTCAAGGATTCTCCTGGCTCAGCCTCCCCAGTAGCTGGGATTACAGGCGCCTTCCATTTCAAGTCGTATACTGTATTCTAAATAATTTGTATCCCCCGTTAGTACCTAGTATCTTCTACTCACAGCAGCTGCAGACGCTCCACAATACTCAGAAAAAGAAAGTTACCTCCTGGAAATTATTACAAGAAGGATTTTTTTCAGGAAGGGGGTGTAGCTCAGTGGTAGAGCGCATGCTTTGCATGTATGAGGTCCCGGGTTCGATCCCCGGCACCTCCAAACGGTGACTTTTTGCTCTGGTAGTGCTCAAACCTAATTCTCAAGCAACATAGACTTACTTCTGCCTCCGCACCTTTTTCTGTCCTATTTCTGCACATATAGAGAGTAAAGACGTAACCCAATGGGTTGCCTCCATTTATAACCCATTTCTATGCCGTGAGCTTCGACATCACTGAAGGCGATTGTGACGGCAGAAGGAAGGTGAAAAAGAAATGAGGAAGAAAGAAGAATGGGATCCCAACAGGGTCTCTTGAACCCAAACAAAAGTGTGCACATCCACGGGAGGTTCACATTTGCTCTCATTTTGTGCTATGATTAAAGAGAAGGAAAGACAAAGAAGAAGGGAGAAAAGCGCCCCGCGGCCATTCTTTTTTTTTTTTTTTTTTTTTTGGAGACAGAGTCTCGCTCTGTAGCCCAGGCTGGAGTGCAGTGGCTTAATCTTGGCTCATTACAACCGCTGCCTCCCGGGTTCAAGCGATTCTTCTGCCTCGGCAGGTGGGTTTACAGGTGCGTGCCATCAGGCCCGGGTAATTTTTGTATTTTTAGTAGAGACGGGGTTTCACCATGTTGGCCACACTGGTCTCGAACCCCAGACCTCAGGTGATCCACCCGCCACAGTTTCCCAAAGTGCTGGGATTACAGGCGTGAGCCACCGCTCCCAGCATCATCTTTTTTGTTTGTTTGTTTTTTGTTTTTTTTTACTTTAGTTTTGTTTTCTGGGCCAAAGAACAGAGCGAAAGCATCTGTCCACTGATTTCTCCTCCAGTCTCTCCCTGTCAACCTGCGCAGAAAGCACAGCCACAAGTGTAATCCAATACTGAGACAAGGACTGCTGTGGCTCTCCAGCCGCTTGAGATGGGAGTGGAAGGACGCTGGATGACCGAACAAAGACTGTCAGGGAATAAGAGACCTTCAACATGAGAGGAGCAGAAACCAATACGGATCAACATTCCCTACTGATACAATTGATTCATTTTCCTGTATTTCCTCAGCCATTCCATTTTCCTTGTTAAAATAAAACATTGCCTGGAAACCTCTGTTAACAGCCAACGGAGGACTCATGTGAAAAAGTAGGAAAAGTTTTTCTGTCACAATGGAAAATAGACGCAAAGTAAAAGGTGAGTGGATCGCAGGTGTGTTGAGCACTTCCTCAGGTAAAAACAAAAGAAAACAAATTTTTTTTGTTCTTTCTCTGTCAATCCCATCACAATTGCATTGCATGACCAGGGAACTCCCAGGAAATCCTATTCACTGATGATACCTTTTAGGGGTTTCCAATGTTGTATGTTTCAAAATTGCTGTCCTCTGTACATGTTTGCTGTTGAATCAAAGCATCTTTGAGAGGCAACAGAGTATGATGTTTGTCACCATCCACCAGTCTAACACTCTATCAGGCTGGGATGTCCTCACTTCTTGATTCTTTTATCCGGTGAAAATATCCATAACCAGTATCCAGGAGGGATACTGTCTGGTGAAACCTGCTTAGCTGAGGATTGGCTGTGTGCCCCCAGGCCAATCATATGTTTGTTTCAAGATGCATTTTTTGGAGACAGGTAACGAAGAGATGCCATATATTTTCTTTTCATTTCTTAATATTTCCCCCCTACTATCTACTGGTTCTCTCCAGGCACTTTAAGGAAATAGTGTCATGTTTGCCACAAAGGATGCTGCACAGGAGAGCAAGGCATGAGGGATTAGGGTGCTACTAGTGGAATGTCAAATTCCAGGCCCAACCTCAGATCTACAGAATCAGAATTGATGAGAGTGGGACCCAGCCACCTGTGTTGAATAAGCCCTCAAGTGACTCTGATGCTAAAGTTTGAGAAGCACTGCTCTAGAAGTTTCAGAAGGAGTTCAGGGCCAGATGCTTGCTAAGGAGAAAGAGTTGCTCCCGGGGTTCCCTGCCTATTTTCAATAAAAAACTCAAACCACGTAGGAAAGCCAGTGACGTATTTGCATTACATCAGGATGAGAGTGGATTTATTACCTCTTTGAGACCTTCAATATTTTAGATGACTAGAGATCACACACAAGAGCCTCTGATTTTCCTGTAGAAGAACTCACAGGGGTTCTTTAGAGCCAGGAGACTCTTTCCAGCCAAAATACCTGGAGCCATCTCAAGCTATTTTGGCCTTTCAATTTGAAACCTAAGGCCTTTCCTTAGAGCTTGGAAGTTTCTAAGCTCTGAGGAAGACACTGTAATCATTCTTGCTCCACCCTCAGGGTTGGAATTCACCCTGCTCTCTGTCAAGCCCCCACCAATTCTGCCAATATTCTGGTCTAAGATCCAGTTGTTAAAAACCCAGTCTATGTGGCTGGGGGCGGTGGCTCATGCTTGTAATCCCAGCACTTTGGGAGGCCAAGTCGGGTGAATCACGAGGTCAAGAGATCGAGACATTCCTGGCCAACATGGTGAAACCCGTCTCTACCAAAAATACAAAAATTAGCTGGGCATGGTGGCCGGGGAGGCTGAGGCAGGAGAATAAAAAATTAGCTGGGCATGATGGCCATGCCTGTAGTCCCAGCTACGGGGAGGCTGAGGCAGGAGAATCCCTTGAACCTGGGAAGCGGAGATTGCAGTGAGCCGAGATGGCACCACTGCACTCAAGCTTGGTGACACAACGAGACTCCATCAAAAACAAAAAACAAAAACAAACAAAAAAAGCAATCTAATGCATAAAATGTAATTAAAATATCTTCGCAGCATTAAGTAGAGAGTTCCTTGTGGTTAGGAGACTCTTCCTCCTTGGAAGATGTTCTCTGTCTGTCTACCTTCTGCGTTTTCACATTTGTCTCTTCCTCTCCACACCTAAGCCAGTGCTTTATTTCCACTTATCTCGTGTAGGGATATACTTTTGTGTGGTGACCTTGGTTTTGCCCACTCTTCTTGCTTCCAAGAGTTGGATGTAGGCAATGTAGGAGCCCACTGCCAAAGTGTGGGTGATATTCTCCAGAAAGAAACCTAAATTTCAGAGGCTTGCTGATATGGAAGAAAGCCTAGGATATTCGACTCATAGAGCTTCGCACTGCTAGGCAGGTTGAAATCTGGACACCCTGAATTCCTTAGGAACAAGGTATAAGTACTTCTGAAAACCAATTTAAGTTTAAAATATACTGAGACTCCCTGATCTTTCTTGTATTTCATGACATATTCCAAGCTCAAGAAGCTAAACACACACACACACACTCAAATACCAAAACAGAACACACTCTCCTACCTATAACAAAGGGGCTTAAGCAGGAGGGTCTAGAGAGACCTGGTTCAACACTCTCCCCCTGACGAACAGTAGGGATTGGAAATAGGCGGCTTCTCTGTCCTTTCCTCGGAAGCCACCAATACCACCCGCCTGTACCAAAACTCAAGGGTACCCCTGCTCCCCAGTACCCCAGCCAGTAAAGGAGCTGCGAGGCGTTCTCAACGCCGCGACTACCTTGAGTAAAACGAGGGAGATCTTGCGGGGAAAGTGTTTTCAGCTCACTTCTCCTACAGGGAATGAGCCCTCTCACCTATCGTGGACACCGAGGAAACGCAGCAGAGATGGGCACCCAGGCTGCCCAGATCCTCTGGCAGCCTCGGGTGCTCGTCCACTTCGCTCCTCCTCCGCCTTTGCTGCCGCAGCCGCAGGTGCGCACCCCACCGCGTCCCTGCTTCCCTCCTCGAGCTCTTGTGGTCGAGCTCAGGTGGTCCTTGTTCTCCTCTCCATCCATCGTTACTTGAGTCTCAAAACTGGAGCCACAACGTCCCCAAGATGAAATCCATGCTGGGTTTCAGCCACGGTGCCGGCCCAGGGGCTGGCGAGGGTAAGGACAGGCAGCGACCCACTTCCTGGGTCTTCATTTCTAAGAGCTGGGAATTCCACCTTCTCACCTCCTCACCTGGACCTAAATCCCCCAGGCGGTACTGACCATTCTGTTTTTTTATCCACCTACGCTACTCTTCGTGTGACAGCCCTTGAAGGCAGAAGGAAAAGAAGATGTAAGAAGGGAGAATTTAAAAAACACTTTAAAAATTAATTAATCTGAATACTCAAAGTATCCCCAGGTCATGTATCCTTTTAAGATATGCCTACATTGGCATAGGCGGTGGCTCATGCCTGCAATCCCAGCACTTTGAGAGGCCGGGGCAGGCGGATCACCTGAGGCCAGGAGTTGGAAACCAGCCTGGCCAACATGGTGAAACCCCATCTCTACTAAAAATACAAAAATTAGCCGGGCGTGCTGGCACGTGCCTGTAATCCTAGCTACCTGGGAGGCTGAGGCAGGAGAATCGCTTGAACCTGGAAGGTGGAGGTTGCAGTGAGCCCAGATTGCACTACTGCATTCCAGCCTGGGCAACACAGCAAGACTCCTTCTGGGGGAGGGGGTGGAGGGCGGGGGCGACGAATTATACAGTGAAACTTTCTTGAACCTGAAGAGTCTGTTTTTTTTTTAAAGTTTTTATATCACAAATTTAATTTCCTTAGTAGTTACAAGGTTATAGAAAAATATATTTCATATTGAGTGAGTTGTGATAGTTTGTGATTTTCAAGGAATTAGTCCATCTCATCTAAGTTTTCAAATTTGTGTGTAAAGTGTTGTTCATAGTATTCATTTACCCTTTTGATGTCAGCAGAGTCTATAGTGATATACTCTTCTTTTTATTCTTGATATTGGCAATTTGTGTCATCTCTCTTCTTAAAAAATTATCAGTCCTCCTAGAGGTCTTCTTTTATTGATCTTTTAAAGGAACTAGCTTTTTGTTTGTTTTTCTATTTTGTGCGTGTGTGTTCAGTTCCGTTTATTTCTGCTCATTTCCTTTCTTCTATTTGCTTTGGGTTATTTTCCCCCACCTGAGTTCTTCAAGTAAGAGCTTAAAGGACTGATTTGAGACTTTTTTCTTTTCTTTCTTTTTTTTTTTTTTTTTTTTTTTTTTTTTTTTTTTTTTGGCCGGGCTGGTCTCCAACTCCTGACCTTGTAATCCACGCGCCTCGGCCTCCCAAAGTGCTGGGATTACAGGCGTGAGCCACGCGCCTGGCCGACTTTTTTCTTTTCTAATGTATGCACTTAGTGCTGTAAATTTCTCTCTCAGAGATTAAGTTGTCTTGGAAATTTTGATACATTGTGTTTTCATTTTTATTCAGGTTAATTTATTTTTTTGATCTCTACTAAGGCTTTCTCTTTGTCCTATGGAATATTTAGTAGTGTGTTGTTCATTTTCCAAGTGTTTGGATATTTTTGTTGTCTTTCTGTGACTGATTTTTAGTTTGATTTCATTGTGGTTAGGGATCATACTATGTCAGTCAATTCTTTTAAATTTGTTGAGGCCCAAGGTATGAGGTATGTTCTATCTTGATCTACGTTACGTATGAATTTGAAATGAATGCGTGTTCTGCTTTTCTTGTGTGGACTGTTCTATACATGGTGACTGAATTCTGTTGCCTGAAGATGATTTGGGGTTCTTCAATATCCTTGCAGATTTTCTGTGTAGTTTTTCTGTTATTATGAGAGAAATGGCGCGGGCGTGGTGGCTCACGTCTGTAATCCCAGCATTTTGGGAGGCCGAGGCGGGTGGATCACCAGGTCAGGAGATGGACACCACCCTGCCTAACATGGTGAAACGCCGTCTCTACTAAAAATACAAAAAATTAGCCGGGCGTGGTGGCGGGCGCCTGTAGTCCCAGCTACGCAGAGGCTGAGGCAGGAGAATGGCGTGAACCCGGGAGGCGGAGCTTGCAGTGAGCCAAGATTGCGCTACTGCACTCCAGACTGGGCGACAGAGCGTGTGAGGAGACGATTGAAAAACCCAAAAAGAAGAAAAAGCAAAAGCCCCAGGAGATTCATCAGGAGAATGGAATGGAAGACCCATCTATCTCTTTCTCCAAACCCAAGAAAAAGAAATCTTTTTCCAAGGAGGAGTTGATGAGTAGCGATCTTGAAGAGACCGCTGGCAGCACCAGTCTTCCCAAGAGGAAGAAGTCTTCACCCAAGGAGGAAACAGTTAATGACACCGAAGAGTCAGGCCACAGAAGTGGCTCCAAGAAAACGAGGAAATTCTCCAAAGAGGAGCTGGTCAGCAGTGGGCCTGAAGAGGCGGCTGGCAAGAGCAGCTCCAAGAAGAAGAAAAAGTTCCATAAAGCATCCCAGGAAGATTAGAATGCAAATGGACATTCTCTGGGAGGTGGGGCATACCATAGCCCAAGGCGACATTTCCCACCCTGTGCCGTCTTCCCCAATAAGAACAAATTCACAAAAAAGAGAGAGAGAGAAGTGAAGTCTCTAATGTAACTGCATTTGTCGATTTTTTTAATTCTATCTTTTTTGTTTTTTAAAATATTTATTTATGTATTACATTTATTTATTTATTTATTTATGAGTCAGAGTCTCGCTCTGTCACCCAGGCTGGAGTGTAGTGGCACCATCTCGGCTCACTGCAACCTCCACCTCCCGGGTTCAAGCAATTCTCGAGCCTCAGCCTCCCTAGTAGCTGGGACTGCAGGTGCACGCCACTGCACCACCATGCCCGGCTAATGTATGTATTTTTAGTAGAGACGGGTTTCACCATGTTGGCCAGGCTACTTTCCAACTCCTGGCCTCAGGTGATCCGCCCACCTCGGCCTCCCAAAGTGCTGGGATTACAGGCGTGAGCCACTGCGCCCTGTCTGGGTGTTTTGTTTTGTTTTGTTTTGAGACAGAGCCTTACTTTGTTGCCCAGGCTGGAGTGCAGTGGCACGATCTTGGCTCACTGCAACCTCCGCCTCCCAGGTTCAAGCAATTCTCCTGCTTCAGCCTCCCGAGTAGCTGGGACTACAGGGCGCACGACCACGCCCAGCTTTTTTTTTTTTTTTTTTTTTTTTTTTTAGTAGAGATGGGGTTTCACCATGTTGGTCAGGATGGTCTCAATCTCCTGACTTTGTGATCCGCCCGCCTCGGCCTTCCAAAGTGCTGGGATTACAGTCGTGAGCCAGCGCGCCCGGTCCTGTTTTTTTTTTTTTTTTTTTTTTTACATGTTGCAGCTCTGCTGTTTGGTGTATACATATTTAGGATTGTTATGCCTTCTTGGTGGATTTTCTTTGTTCTTAAGTTTATATTAATATAGTCACTTTTGCTTTCTTTTGATTAACTTTTGCATGTAATATATTTTATCCCCTTAATTTCAGCCTGCTTATATAATTATATTTGAAATGAGTTTCTTTTAGATAGTGTATAGTTGGATTATGTTTTCTAATCTGTTCTGTCAATCTCTCCCTCCCTCCATTCCTTTCTTCCTTTTGCCCTCTCTCCTTCCTTTCTTTCTCTCTCGCTCCTTCCTTCTTTCTTCCTTCCTTTCTTTTCTTTCTTCCTTTATTTTCTTTCTATTTTTAATAGACGGGATCTTGTTTTGATGACCAGACTAGAGTGCAGTGGCTATTCACCAGGGCAATCGTAGAGCACTGGGGCTTCCAACTCCTGACCTCAAGCTGTTTTCCTGCCTCCTCTTCAGCCTCCTGAGTAGGTGTAGCTGGGACTATAGATGCAGGCCACCACGCCTGGCTCATGGTTTGTTTTTGTTTTTTTGTTTTTTTTCTCATCCTTCTTTTAAAGTCGCTAAATAAAAATCATACCTGGATGTCTGGAAATGTCAGTTAACATCAAACATGTTGCTGCCATGAAGTGCCAGACAATTCTTTTTTAGTACCTAAAAAAGTGTCCCTCCTCTGAGAAGAGGACAAATAGTTCACAGATGTGTAAGACATTTTAACTGTAGTGAAACAGCAGCCATTTCCTCTGCTGTTTCCTGTCCGTCTAATCACTTCTGCTTTTACTTTCTTTCTTTTTTCTTTTTTTTTTTTTAAGACGTAGTCTCGCTCTCTCTCCCAGGCTGGAGTGCAGTGGCGCGATCTCAGCTCACTGCAAGCTCCGCCTCTCGGGTTCACGCCATTCTCTGCCTCAGCCTCCTCGAGCAGCTGGGACCACAGGCGCCCGCCACCACGCCAGGCTAATTTTTTGCATTTCTAGCAGAGACGGGGTTTCACTGTGTTAGCCAGGATGGTCTCGATCTCCTGACCTCGTGATCCGCCCGCCTCGGCCTCCCAAAGTGCTGGGACTACAGGCGTGAGCCACCGCGCCCGGCTATGCTTTTATTTTCAAGGCACTAATCAAAATTTCTGGCCTACTGATGGCCCTATTTAAAGGGTTTCCTGGGCTATGATAGTTTCAAACTCTATATTTCCTGAAGACTAATAAAGAGGGAAGGGAGTTCTGTTTGTCAACTTTACTGTTTCTTTTCCTCCTTCCCTTCCTTCCATTCTTTCTTTCTTTTTCTCCTGTCACTCTCTTTTTTTTTTGCTGCTTTTCTCCAAAAAAGAACTTCACTATTTCTTTCCCTACCAGAGCAGCCCCTCATTACCTCCTGACTCTGAGAAAGAAACTCTGTCTCTTTCAGATGTCCTTAGTTGATTGACTCACAAGCAAGGAGTGTGACAAGGAAAATAGAATAAAACACCTTCTAAATTCTAATACAAATTGAGAAATTTGTACCTTTGTCTCTGCCTTGCAACATTTAAAATAAAGTGGGACCATCTGAGAAGCATATATTGTTCAAATCTTGGGATAATTTCAAAACATCTTTTCCTCAATGACAAATCAACAATACTGGAATACATATCATATATATGTAGTATGTATTATATATATATATCAGACAAAGATTATTTCTCTAAACTATTTGATAATGATTTTCAGACATCATATCTTTTTATTCTTAAATACTTCAATGTGTATTTCTTAAGAAAAAGGTCAATTCCTTAACACAACACAATTATCAAGTTCAGTAAATTTGACATTGATAAATGTGAATATAGTCTAATATAAAGTCTATTAAAAATTGTCTAATTGTACCAATAAAAACTTTTATAGAAATTTCTCTTCCAAGCTAGGATCCATTTCAGAATCACATATGAATCTAGTTGTCTTGACTCTTTAGTGCCCTTTAATTTGGAACAGTTTCTTAATCTTCTTGTCTTTCACAACACCGACATGTTTTTGAAGAGTTTTTCCAGTGGTTTTGTGCAACGTTTCTTAATCTGTATTAGCCATGATAAGATTACATCGGGTTATGGAATTTGGGAGAAATGTCACAGAAATCACGTTATTACCCTCTCTCACACCAAGAGGCATGAGCTGACTGAAGTTAGCTTGATCACTTGATTTTAAGTTTGTAATTACTGTTTCTTCCCTGAAAAATTATCATTTTCCTCATTGTAATTAATAAATAATCTACAGGGAAATACTCTGAGACTACGTAAATATCCTGATCCTCATCAAATTTTTACCTATACTTTAACATTAACTTACAAATTTTGCCTGCATCTATCATCATTCTGATGGTATTGTTTAAATGGGGATTTTTAAATTTTATCCTCACTTTGTTTCTTTGTTCATTTTTTTGAGACGGAGTCTCGCTCTGTCGCCCAGGCTGGAGTGCAGTGGCGCAATCTTGGCTCACTGCAAGCTCCGCCTCCCGGGTTCACGCCATTCTCCTGCCTCAGCCTCCCGAGTAGCTGGGACTACAGGCACCCGCCACCACGCCCGGCCAAGGTTTTGTATTTTTAGTGGAGAGGGGGCTTCACCGTGTTAGCCAGGATAGTGTCGATCTCCTGACCTCGTGATCCACCCGCCTCAGCCTCCCAAAGTGCTGGGATTAAAGGCGTGAGCCACTGCGCCCGGCACTCACTTTCACATTTATCATTTGGCAAACCACTGTAAGGAAAATCGTCCCGTCCTCCATATTTATTTGTTTAAGTTCCCAAGAATGATAATCAGTTATTGTCATCACTGATGCTAAAAGTGTGTCAGATTTGGCCAGTGAGATTCCCTTCAAGCTGGCTTCTGTGTCCTTTTAAATCACCCCCGTCATTTCTGAGCACTTACATTCTGGCAAGGCAAGATATCTTAGGTTCATTTTGCAGTTTCCCTGGCACAGTCCTGGAGTCTGTGTAGTTGACACTAATAGCTACTTTCTATTAGTATCTCTGGTTCCTTTTAGTAGGGAATGGTATTTGAAAATCAAGATACAGAGTTATCTTTGCTCATTGCTTCTGAGGTATCATTTCTTCTAGGCCCAGTTAGCAGATAGATCTGTGGGGAAATTTTACAATTTCATATGTACAATTTCATACTGATGCCTCTAATTCCCATCAGTATCAACAGGACTATTCTTTACCTTCCTTCTTCTCCCACAGTGAGAGTCTGTTTCCAACAACAGACACTCGATTTCCCAATCCTAAAATTCACACAAAATATCAGAATTGCTACAGCCCTCACTCTACAAAAAATAATCCTGATACATAGAGTTTAAGATTTGTTCGATGTTCTTTTTGATCTCACAATTAGAACAACAATCTGTGTAAACCATTTTCTTATATCAGTTCTTTCCTCTTCAATGTGGTTATGTTATTCTTTTGAAATGCAGTTAATTTGCCTCTATTTGTACTGAATTTTAGGGTATTTTCACACATACCTGAGTTTTATTTTTTGACTATGGGAAACACTAAGATGCTTCCCAGAGTCAAAAGAAAAAAGTTATAATCAGAAAATTTGCAAGAGAATGTTGTATGCCGGAGGTCACTCAAGGGATAGAATGGAATTATGCTCCAGAAAGTCTAATATGATGGGGAGACCACTTTGGGGTGAGTTGATCTTGGACTGACCACAAATCAGGAACATCAGGAACAATGCCTTTGTTTTTACCACAAGATATCTTTCTCCTGGTGTAGCCATGCCCGAGAGAGAGAGAGAGAGAGAGAGAGAGAGAGAGAGAGAGAGAGAGAGAGAGAGAGAGAGAGAGAGAGAGGGCGCTTAGTGTCGGGAATTCATAAACAGTGGAATTGGAAACATACAGTGATTGTCTTGATGACACAGAGCACAGACTCAGGCAACGGAGATCACCAAAACATTTTCCCAAGCTCCTGATCTCCTGCGGGGGTATAGCTCAGGGACAGAGCACGTGGTTAGCATGCGTGAGGTCCTGCGTTCAACTTCCAGTATTTCCACTCTTTTTTTTCCTATGAGCCACCTTAGGAAGTTCTCCATGATATTCCCCACCTATTCAAGGGAATTGTGTTGGCCTCTGCATTTCTCTCTCATACAGGGAGATAATTCGTGTTCATTCACTTACAGTTCTTTGTTGCTTAGAATTATCCCCCTGTCCTAATTAGTTCCACAAATCACTAATGTGGATCACACACTATAGAAGCAAGTAGTATTCCTTGCCATCCCGCCGATTTCCAGTTTAAATAAAATAGTCAGAAACCATTGAATTCTGTGACCTAAGTCTGATTTCAGATCAGAAGGTTAAGGCTCAAGTTCTTTTGCGTTTCTTACTTTCTTCTAACTGCTTCCTCACCCAGGTTGCAAAAGTCCTGCAAGCTTTCACTAAAAGATTCCACTACAAGTGGCTGATGATTGCTGGTGATGTGCTGGTGGTCACTTTTTCCATTAGAGACCGACAAATTCTGAAACTTAATCCAAGCTATTTAACTACAAACATAAGGACAAATGACAAATATAATGACAAATGAGGAAAAGATCTCAATCACCTCAGCTGAAATTTAGCAGGGAGAAAATTACTTCTCTTGGTTCTTTAAGGAAGTTTCTGGTCTGAAATGGCAAGCTCTCTGAACTCCAGAGTCCAAGATCCATCTAGGGTAGAAGCTCGTTTCTTCTTTTTTTTTTCTTTTTTCTTTCTTTCTTTTTTTTTTTTTTTTTTTTTTTTTTTTTTTTTTTTTTTGAGATGAAGTCTCACTCTGTTGCCCAGGCTGGACTGCAGTGGAGCGATCTTGGCTCACTGCAAGCTCCGCCTTCTGGGTTCAAGCAATTCTCCTGCCTCAGCCTCCTGAATAGCTGGAAATACAGGCACTTGCCACCTCGCCTGGCTAATTTTTTGTATTTTTAGTAGAGATGGGGTTTCACCATGTTGGCCAAGCTGGTCTCAATCTCCTGACCTCGTGATCTGCCCACCTTGGCCTCCCAAAGTGCCGGGATTACAGGCGTGAGCCACTGCACCCAGCCAAAACCTCATTTCTTTGTTTTGTTTTGTTTTTTTTAATAAATAAAAATAATGAACTTTTATTCTCCCAATCCCAATGGATCCTTTTCTACCTCACTGTACTTACTTTCAAGGAATAACTTCCTTCTTAGCTACTGAACATCCCATATCTCCAGATTAGAACCCTGCACAATTTCTAATTCTGATATCACAGTGCTAAGCAGAAATTCACAGGGGGATACTTGGCAAGCATCTTAACACTATTTTGTTAAAAGAAAATCTCCTTTTATTTTCCACTCTATTTCATCAAAGGATTAAAAATTAAGTTACTAAACACCTAGAAGGCAGAAAAGCAGCCTCTTTCTCCATGTGCAGAAGCTAAGCAACCCAGTGGGGCTTCTGTATGCATCATCTCTTTTACTCACTTTCTAAAAGCTGTAACCGTCCACCATCTACCAGGCGATCACAAACCACCCCTTAAGTCAATTTTGAGGTTAACCCACTTGACTTGAGAGGGATTCACCTGTACCACCTCTGCAGCTGTTATGTGAGAAAATAAACTCATCCATCTAAACCCAAAGAATGGACTCAGAGACCCGGAGAACAGCGAAAGTGAGACTTTTAATGACGGTCTTGAGAGATCAAGATCGGGTGTCTGGCGTGCAGGCACACCCAGAACAGTTTCAACAAGCAATTTGTCCCCTAGTGCGCAAGTCCCTCCCCAGGTTCCTCATAGGCTGAGTGCTATGGGGTTACAATTTTCTCGGCGTTTGCCTACTGATTGTTAGGCAAAGGCTTTAGGTGTCTCTTTTTTAGGGTTGTCTTGCTGCATTTTGTTGCAGCCCACAATGCATTGCAATCCTGGTTAGCTCAAGGGCTCTTTAAGTGTTTGACTTATGACCTAAGTAGCTGGGCAGGCTGATAAGAACAGACAAAGTGAGCTATTTTGCAGACTAGTAAACTTATATCTTAGACTAAACTGTTTTTGTTTGGGTGAAGGCCACCAAGGATGGGGGATGGGAAGGGGGAGGAAAGAGGGGGGCGACAAGCAGGCATCCGCTATCCAAGCAGGGACCTAGTATACCCTGTTTCTTCTGTACTTTGCTGACCTAAGCCAATTTAAGGCACTTTGTCTTGGAAATAGATCACTGTATACATTATTTCCTTCAGGAATAGCACTAAGGAAAAGGTGGCTGCACACGTAGTTAACACCGATTTTACCGCGACTTTGTAGTACCTAACCTTGTTTTTAGACTCTCCCTTAATCGCCTAGCCTTGTTTCCACATGAATAGGCTCTTCCTTAGCTGAGAAAGCCGGAAGTACTCCTTTTGGCTCCTTCATTTACAAGACGTCAAAGACTCCTTACCCACCCCCTTCCTCAAGCAGTTAACTTGTGTAAGCTGACTCTTACATATCAAAGAGTCCAATTAACTGATAAGGTACTGAAGCAAGCAATTTACGAAGTTACCAGGATTTCGCTCAAGAGATAACACCATAAAGCTTTGAGTTTGTGTCCGGGAGAGCCCCCATACCTAACGCCTTATGATAGATTTAGAGCCCCTGCACCTGGAACTGTTTGTTTCCTTGTAACCATTTGTCTTTTTAATTTTTTTGCATGCTTTTACTTCTGTAGAATTGCTGCAACTAAGCTCCCCCTCCCCTTTCTAAACCAAAGTATAAAGGAAAATCAAGCCCCTTCCTCGGGGCCGAGAGAATTTCGAGCGTTAGTCGTCTGTCGGTCGCCGGCTAATGAAGGACTCTTAAATTCGTCTCGAAGTGTGGCGTTTCTCTAACTCGCTCGGGTACAACATTTGGAAGCCCCAGCGAGATATATTCGCCACTGGGCGAGAGCCGGGCTAGCTCCGGGCTCCCCCGGAGGGACGGCCGGCTTATAGGCGAGGAGCCACCTGAAAAAAAATTTTCCAGGTCCCCGAAAGGCGACCGTCTTCCGGAGGACAGCGGATCGACTACCGTGTGTGTGTGCCCACAAAATTCAACCTCTGAGTCCTCAGCTTCTGACCCCGGGGTCAGGTAAGTTAGATTTGACTTCTGTTTGGTGAGAGGGAGGCAGCCCTGACGAGGGCATCCCTGTCTTTGACACTGCCCGCTTTTCCAGGGCGCTGGAGGACAGAGCCCTGGTTTTTCTGTTAGGCGCCTTTTGGTTCTGGTTTGGTGAGAGGGAGGCAGCCCTGACGACGGTGTCCCTCTCTTTGACTCTATCCATACTCCAGGACGCTGGAGGATAGAGCCCTGGTTTCTGGCAGGCCGGCCTCTCCATTAAGACTAGTCTCTCACTCTCTCCTCCTCTTTTTCTTTCTCTCCCCCTTGCTCTATCTCTTCTCCTCCTCTCGTTCAGGTCTTCTGGGACCTTTGTTTAGAACGGGAAATAACAAAAATTGTTATAAACTCTTTGTGAATGTGTGCACGACTGAGGAGTCCAGGGGCCTGCCTCTGGATCCCCAGTTTGTAGCTCCACGGCGAAAGCTACGGAGTTCGAGTGGGCCCTCACCTGCCGTTCCGTGGCGACCTCATAAGGCTTAAGGCAGCATCGGGCATAGCTCCATCCGAGCCGGGGGTTTATACCTGCCTGCCAATGCTAAGAGAAGCCCAAGTCCCCTCAGGGGGAGCGGCCAGGCAGGCATCTGACTGATCCCATCATGGGACCCCCTCCCCTTGTCTGTCTAATAAAAACCTACCATAATTGTTTATATACCCAAGGGTCTATTGTTTGTTTTGTGTTTGTTGTCCTGCTCGGTGTCTATTGTCCTGTTTAGTGGTTGTCAAAGTTTCGTATGTCAGGTCATCGATACTGCCCAAGACGTCTGGGCAGGAACTTCTTCAAGGTCTTTAGTGTTGATTTTTTATCACAGGAGGTTAAATTTCTCATCAATCGCTTAGGCTGGCCATCCCAGTCCTGCCTTTTCTGTCAGAAACAAATCAGGTGTTGTTACGGGAACGGGAACGAGTGTGAGGAACATTCGCCTGTTTGGGATTTCTGGCACCATGAAGATTGCTGGCATTTAGATTGTCATACCCCATGTCCAAGTGACTGGGCCACCTCCAGACTAAACCGGTGGTAGGTTCAAAATAGCCACCCTGCAGACCTCCTTGCTCACCTCTTTTGTCATCCCGTAACTTTTTCTGTGCCCTTAAATACGGCACTGTGCAGAGAAACCTACGCCCGTACCACTTTACTTCGTTTAAACCCTTATTCTATTCCTCTGTGGCTACTCTCCTACCCTAGGAAAGATCCGAGTGGCCCTTTTTCCTCCTCATCCCTACCACTTACCCCGTACATCTCGTTTTCCCGTGTCACAGCAAGTTCAGCGTCTCCAGGACTTGGCTCTGCTCTCACTCCTCAAACTCTTAAAAGAAAAGGCCGAATTTGAGCTATTTGCCTTTGAGTCGTGGAGACACCAAAAGTATTTAGGCTACAGGTCCAGGGAAAGAGGGAGGACGCCTAGGTCCATCCAGCCAAGGAGACCTAAGGTTGGCCTCTAGTCCTCCTCCCTCAATCTTGGATAATTATTCTTTTTTTTTTTGAGACAGTCTTCTCTGTCGCCCAGGCTGGAGTGCAGTGGCGCGATCTCAGCTCACTGCAAGCTCCGCCTCCCAGGTTCAGGCCACTCTTCTGCCTCAGCCTCCCAAGTAGCTGGGACTACAGACACCCGTCACCACACCCAGCTAATTTTTTGTATTTTTAGTAGAGACGGGGTTTCACCGTGTTAGCCAGGATGGTCTCGATCTCCTGACCTCGTGATTCGCCCGCCTCAGCCTCCCAAAGTGCTGGGATTACAGGCGTGAGCCACTGCGCCCGACCTCCCTCAATCTTAAAGCTAGTTAACCGTCCTGTGGCAAGTAGTGTGAGCTATTGTTGTCTTTCGGCTCCTTCTGGTTATGTTAATTCTGTTCTTCCGATACTCCAGCCCCCTAGGGAATGAGTTTTTCTGTCCGTGCTGGGTTTGATATCCCTGCTCAAACCTTGTCAAACTGCCTCCAAAAATGGGAAACTCCTCTTCCCGGCCCTGTAAGGATTGGAGCCCCCTCCAATGTATGCTGCAGAATTTTTCTCTAGGCTTCTCAGAGGATTATGGGGTCCGCCTTTAAAAAGGCAAACTCCGGACACTCTGCGAAGTAGAATGGCCAAAGTTTGGAGTCGGATGGCCCCCAGTAGGGTCACTGAACCTAGCAATTGTTCAGGCTGTGTGGCGGGTTGTTGCTGGAACTCCCGGCCACCCCGATCAGTTTCCCCACATTGATCAATGGCTGAGTTTGGTCAGAAGCTCCCCACCATGGCTCCGCTCATGCGCCATTCATAATTCTGCC
The DNA here is from genome assembly GCF_000001405.40 of Homo sapiens. Taxonomy (NCBI): domain Eukaryota; kingdom Metazoa; phylum Chordata; class Mammalia; order Primates; family Hominidae; genus Homo; species Homo sapiens. Next base: position 39,016 of record NT_167246.2, on the reverse strand, counting down.
TCCAAGGTCGTTTTGAGCCAGACCGCACTTCCGCCTGGACCCTCAGTCTGTTCGGCTCACCCTGTACTGCCTCCCTCTGAAGAAGAGGAGAGTCTCCCCCACTCAGTTCCGCCGCCTTATAACCGTCCTGCTCCCTTAGAATCTTCCCTTGTCTCCTCGACTACATCCCCTGTAGGCTCGCCGCCTATTGCCTCTCGATTGCGGCCGCGGCAGGAGGAAGTAGCCCCCCCTCTACCGCGGAAAGAAGCACAAGTCCCTCCGGGTGATGAGCGCTCAGCCCCATTCTTGGTTTATGTCCCTTTTTCTCCTTCTGACCTCTGTAACTGGAAGGCTCATAATCCTCCCTTCTCTGAAAAGCCCCAGGTCTTGATCTCACTGATGGAGTCTGTGCTCCGGACCCATCGGCCCACCTGGGATGACTGTCAGCAGCTCCTTTTGACCCTTTTTACCTCTGAAGAGAGGGAACATATCCGAAGAGAGGCCAGAAAGTATTTCCTCACATCAGCCAATAGGCCAGAGGAGGAAGCTAGAGACTTTCTTGAGGAGGTCTTTCCCTCTACCCGGCCTAACTGGCACACGAATTCCTCGGGTAGGAAGAAAGCTTTGGACGATTTTCACCGGTATCTCCTTGCAGGTATCAAAGGAGCTGCTCAGAAACCCATAAACTTGTCTAAGATGACTGAAGTCGCACAGGGCCTGATGAGTCACCGGGAGCGTTTTTAGAACGCCTCCAGGAGGCCTATCGGACTTACACCTCTTTTGACCCGGCGGCTCCCGAAAATAGCCGTGCTCTTAATTTGGCATTTGTGGCTCAGGCAGCCCCTGATATTAAAAGAAAACTCCAAAAACTGGAGGGATTTCCTGGGATGAATATCACTCAGCTTTTAGAGATAGCCCAAAAAGTTTTTGACAATCGAGAGTTTGAAAAAAGAAAACAAACAGCACAGGCAGCAGCTGATAAAGCATACAAAAGACAAGCAAAAATCTTAGCTGCGGCCATCGGAGAGGTCAAGAAGGGAAGGCCCCCATCACAGAGGAATAGCCAGGGAACCTCAGGTCCCTACCAGAAGGGCAAAAGAGGAGAACAGGCTCCCCTAGAAAAGGACAAATGTGCTTATTGCAAGCAGACTGGGCACTGGAAAAAGGAATGCCCACTACGGCCAGAGGAAAAATCAGAAAAGAAAAAGGCCCTCACCCTCCCCGCAACGGAAGAGTCTGATGACTGATGGAGCCAGGACTCCCTCTCTCTTGGCCCCCAGGAGCCCACGGTGACCGCTACAGTGAGGGGCCAGCCTGTACGCTTCCTAGTAGCTACCGGGGCGGAGCACTCGGTACTACAGACCCCCTTGGGCAGTGTCTCTAATAAAAGAGTGGCTGTACAAAGGTCTACTGGAGCTATTCAGGAATATCCTGTCACACACTCACGAGAAGTGAGCTTGGGACAGAAAAGAGTGAGACAGTCATTTCTTGTGGTTCCAGAGTGTCCTTTTCCTCTCCTCGGAGGAGATCTGCTCCATAAGTTACAGGCCTCTATCTCCTTCTCAGCCCAGCAGGCTAACGTCATGCTAGGAAATACAGCGCCCCCCACTGCCCAACTCCTGCTAACTACCCCTCTGTCAGAGGAAAATCTTTTAGTGTCACCATCACAACCACTGGAAAATAATACTAATCCTCTCCTGTTGGACTTACAGACACTCTTTCCCAGAGTTTGGGCCAGTCAAACCCCCCAGGACTGGCTAAACACCATCCACCAGTGGTTGTAGAACTCCTGGCCACTGCCTTGCCTGTCCAGGTAAAGCAATATCCTATGAGTCAGCAGGCTAGACAGGAGATTAATCCCCATATTCAATGACTGTTACAAGCTGGCATACTCACACCGTGTCAGTCCGCCTGGAATATTCCATTTTTGCCGGTCCAGAAACCCGGAACGAATGATTACCAGCCGGTACAGGACTTAAGGGAAGTTAACAAACAGACTGTTACTGTCCATCCAACTGTCCCCAATCCTTATACTCTACTCAACCTGCTCCCGCCAGAACTTACAGTATATACACTGTCCTTGACCTAAAGGATGCCTTCCTTGCTATTTCTCTGGCCCCCAAGAGCCAACTGATCTTTGCTTTTGAATGGACAGATCCTAGCTCAGGAGACACTACCCAATTGACTTGGACTCAGTTACCTCAAGGTTTTAAAAATTCCCCCACCCTTTTTGGAGAGGCCCTCCAGCAGGATCCTATACCATTCCAAGCTAGTCACCTTAACTGTACTCTTCTTCAGTAGGTGGACAACCTTTTATTAGCTACTGAAACTAAAGACAGTTGCCTGCAACATACTAGGGACCTACTTTACCTCCTTCAGGAGCTCGGGTATCGAGTCTCAGCCAAGAAGGTCCAGCTTTGTCTTCCCACAGTGTCCTACCTAGGATACGACATAAGCCAAGGAAAAAGGGCACTCACCAGTGCCCGGAAAGAAGCCATCCTACGAATCCCCACTCCCACCACCAAGAGACAGGTACGTGAATTCCTGGGGGCCGTAGGATACTGTCGCCTATGGATGTCGGGGTTCGCGGAGATTGCGAAGCCCCTGTACACTGCTACAGGAGGGAATAGCCGGCTAGTTTAGATGGACACAGAAGAACAGGCTTTTCAAAATCTGAAAAAGGCATTAACTGAAGCCCCTGCTCCAGCCCTCCCAAATATCCCAGAGCCGTTTCACCTGTTTGTCCACGAAAGCCAGGGAGTTGCTAAGGGGGTGCTTACTCAGACTTTAGGACCCTGGAGATGCCCAGTGGCCTATTTGTCTAAGAGGCTGGATCCTGTGGCCTCTGGATGGCCAACTTGTCTGCGAGTCATAGTGGCAACAGCAAGCCTAGTCTAAGAGGCTGATAAGTTAACTCTAGGTCAAAATTTAACCTTTACCGCTCCTCATGCCGTAGAGACTTTATTACGAAGTGCTTCTGGCAAATGGATGTCAAATGCTCGCATCCTGCAGTATCAGAGTTTACTGTTAGATCAGCCTCGTTTGACTTTCTCTCCCAGAAGGTGTTTAAATCCAGCTACTTTACTCCCTGATCCAGACTTCACTACACCTGTCCATGACTGCCAGGAACTGTTAGAAACTACAGAAACTGGCCCACCTGATCTCCAAGATGTGCCCCTAAAGAAGGTGGACGCCGCCATGTTTACAGGCGGTAGCAGCTTTCTCAAAACAGGGAGTACGAAAGGCTGGTGCAGCCATTACTACAAAGACAGATGTGCTATGGGCCCAGGCTTTACCGGCAAATACCTCGGCACAAAAAGCTGAATTGATCGCCCTCACTCAGGCTCTCCGATGGGGTAAGGATAAACTTATTAACATTTACACTGACAGCAGGTATGCTTTAACTACTGTACATGTACATGGAGCCATCTATCAGGAGCGTGGGCACCTCAGCAGGAAAGACTATCAAAAACAAAGAAGAAATTCTAGCCCTGCTTGAAGCCGTATGGCTCCCTCAGCAGGTGGCTGTAATCCACTGCAAAGGACATCCAGGAGAAAACACGGCCATTGCCCGTGGTAACCAGAAAGCTGACTCAGCGGCCCGGGATGCAGCCAGACTTCCAGTCATGCCTCTAAACTTATTACCCACAGTCTCCTTTCCACAGCCAGATCTGCCCTACAATCCCGCGTACTCAACGGAAGAAAAAAAACTAGCTTCAGATCTCAGGGCCAATAAAAATCAGGAAGGTTGGTGGATTCTTCCTGACTCCAGAATCTTCATACCCCGAGCTCTCTCGGGGAAACTTTAATCAGTCGCCTGCATTCTACCACCCATTTAGGAGGAGCAAAACTGGCCCGGCTCCTCTAGAGCCATTTTAAGATTCCCTATCTTCAAAGCTTAGCAGATCAAGCAGCTCTCCGGTGTACAACTTGTGCCCAGGTAAACGCCAAGCAAGGTGCTAAACCCAGCCCAGGCCACCGTCTTTGAGGAAACTTGCCAGGAGAAAGGTGGGAAGTTGACTTTACAGAAATAAAACCACACCGGGCTAGGTACAAATACCTTCTAGTACTAGTAGACACCTTCTCCGTATGGACTGAGGCATTTGCCACCAAGAATGAGACTGCCACCATGGTAGTTAGGTTTTTACTCAATGAAATCATCCCTCGACATGGGCTGCCTGCTGCCATAGGGTCTGATAACGGACTGGCCTTCACCTCGTCCATAGCTCAGTCAGTCAGTAAGGCATTACACATTCAATGGAAGCTCCATTGTGCCTATCGACCCCAGAGCTCTGGGCAGGTAGAACGCATGAACCGCACCCTAAAAAGCACTCTTACAAAGTTAATCTTAGAGACCGGTGAGAACTGAGTAAGGCTCCTTCCTTTAGCCTTTCTTAGAGTAAGGTGCACTCCTTACTGGGCTAGGTTTTCACATTTTGAAATCATGTATAGGAAGGCTCCACCTATCTTGCCTAAGCTAAGGGATACCAATTTGGCAGAAATATCACAAGCTAATTTATTACAGTAGCTAAAGTCTCTCCAACAGGTACAAGATATCATCCAGCCACTTTTCCGAGGAGCCCATCCCAATCCGGTTCCTGACCAGATGGGGCCCTGCCACTCATTCCAGCCAGGTGACCTGGTGTTTGTTAAAAAGTTCCAGAGAGAAGGACTCACTCCTGCTTACATAGGACCTCATACTGTCATCCTCACCATGCCAACAGCTCTGAAGGTGGATGGCATTCCTGCTTGGATTCGTCACTCCCGCATCAAAAAGGCCAACAAAGCCCAGCAAGAAACATAGGTCCCCAAGCCTGGGTCAGGCCCCTTAAAACTGTGCCTAAGTCGGGTGAAGCCATTAGATTAATTCTTTTTATTTACTTCTCTTTTTGGTTTTTGCCTGTCATGTCCTCTGCACCTTCCTATTCCCTTCTTCTCACCTATTTCATGACAAGACGTATATTCGCAAACAGTACTTGGAGGGCAGGAACCTCCAAGGAAGTCTCCTTTGCAGTTGATTTATGTGCACTGTTCCCAGAACCAGCCCGTACCTACAAAGAGTAACACAATCTGACAGTCAAGGGGGCAGGAAGCGTTGACCTTTTGGCAGGATTTGGACACTCCGGGAGCCAGACTGGATGTGGGAGCTCCAAAGGTGCGGAAAAAGGACTTCAGAATGTTGACTTTTACCTCTGTCCTGGAAATCACCCTGACTCTAGCTGTTGAGATATTTACCAGTTTTTCTGCCCTGATTGGACACGTGTAACTTTAGACACTTAACTCTGGGAGATCAACCGGATCTTCAACTCTTTCCATAAGTCGTGCTTCCCATCCTAGATTGTGTACTAGAAAAAATTGTAATCCTCTTACTATAACTGTCCATGACCCTAATTCAGCTCGATGGTATTATGGCATGTCATAAGGATTAAGGCTTTATATCCCAGGATTTGATGTTAAGACTATGTTCGCCATCCAGAAGAAAATCCTGGTCTCATGGAGCCCACCCAAGCCAATCAGGCCTTTAACTGATCTAGGCGACCCTATGTTCCAAAAACACCCTGACAAGGTCGATTTAACTGTTCCGCCACCATTCCTAGTTCCTAAACCCCAGCTGCAGCAACAATATCTTCAACACAGCCTGATGTCCATACTAGGCAGGGTACATCACCTTCTTAACCTCACCCAGCCTAAACTAGCCCAAGATTGTTGGCTATGTCTAAAAGCAAAACCCCCTTATTATGTAGGCTTAGGAGTAGAGGCCACACTTAAAAGTGGCCCTTTATCTTGTCGTGCACGACCCTGTGCCCTCACACTAAGGGATGTGTCTGGAAACGCTTCTTGTCTAATTAGTACCGGGTATAACTTATCTGCTTCTCCCTTTCAGACTACTTGTAATCAGTCCCTGCTTACTTCCATAAGCACCTCAGTCTCTTACCAAGTGCCTAACAATACCTGGTTGGCCTGCACTTCAAGTCTCACTCACTGCATTAATGGAACTGAACCAGGACCTCTCCTGTGCATGTAAGTTCATGTACTTCCCTGGGTATACGTGTACAGTGGACCAGAAGGACAACTTCTCATTTCTCCCCCTGAGTTAGATCCCAGGTTTCGCTAGCTGCCCTGCTCCTAGTTCCCTTCTTGGCCAGCCTTAGCATAGCCAGATCAGCAGCCCTAGTTCAAGGAGAAACTGGAATAATGGCCCTATCTCAACAGGTAGATGCTAATTTAAGTAACCTCCAGTCTGTCGTAGATTTGTTACATTCCCAGGTAGAGTCTCTAGCTGAAGTAGTTCTTCAAAACCGCTGAGGCTTAGATCTACTATTCCTCTCTCAAGGAGGTTTATGCGCAGCTCTAGGAGAAAGTTGTTGCTTCTATGCCAATCAGTCTGGAGTCATAAAAGATACTCTCCAAAAGGTTCGAGAAAATCTAGATAGATGCCAACAAGAAAGAGAAAATAACATCCCCTGGTATCAAAGCATGTTTAACTGGAATCCATGGCTAACTACTCTAGTCACTAGGTTAGTTGGACCCCTCCTCATCCTACTATTAAGCTTAATTTTCAGGCCGTGTATATTAAATTAGTTTCTTAACTTTGTAAAACAACGCATAGCTTCTGTCAAATTTATGTATCTTAGAACTCAATATGACCCCCTTATTATAACTGAGGAATCAACGATTTGATTCCCCAAAAACACAAGTGGGGAATGTAATACCTAACGTTGTTTTTAGACTCTCCGTTAATCACCTAGCCTTATTTCCACATGAATAGGCTGTCCCTTAGCTGAGAAAGCTGGACGAACTCCATTTGGCTCCTTCATTTACAAAACATCAAGGACTCCTTACCCACCCCCTTCCTCAAGCAGTTAACTTGTGTAAGCTGACTCTCAACATATCAGAGTCCAATTAACTGATAAGGTACTGAAGCAAACAATGCACGAAGTTCCCAGGATTTCACTCAAGAGATAACACCATAAAGCCTTGAGTTTGTGTCTGGCAGAACCCCCATACCTAATGCCTTATGATAGATTTAGAGCCCCTGCACCTGGAACTGTTTGTTTACCTGTAACCATTTGTCTTTTTAATTTTTTTGCATGCTTTTACTTCTGTAGAATTGCTGCAACTAAGCTCCCCCTCCCCTTTCTAAACCAAAGTATAAAGGAAAATCAAGCCCCTTCCTCGGGGCCGAGAGAATATCGAGCGTTAGTCCTCTTTTGGTCGCCGGCTAATAAAGGACTCTTAAATTCGTCTCAAAGTGTGGCATTTCTCTAACTCGCTCGGGTACAACAACTTCGCCTTTCCGCAGCCGCTGTCCAGCTCTGCAGAGTCCTTTTGAGAGAAGAGCTGGACAAGAGGAGTAAAGGAGCTCTTTGCAAATGCCAGGAGGAGTTTCTTCAGGGGGAAAGTTGGCTTTCCATAGGCTTCTAAGAGAAGTATGTGGAGCAAACAAACGGGAATTTTCTTTCTCATCTTTTGCATTTCAGACAAAAGCTAATAAAATTAGCTGTTTCCACCGTCATGCTTAGTCTCAAAGCTGCCGGTAGATTCCGCTTCTAACTTTCCACACAGGCGCGCAGGAAATCGGGAAATCACTGCAGCTCCCTCAGAAGCTCCAATATCAGCATTTCCTGAACTGAAAATAAAAATGCGACATTACGTGCATACCCAAAGAGCTCAACTGGTCTGTCCAGCAACGTAAAGAGAGGTGAGGCGCTCTTGAAGCCGTGCCAGCCTGGGCGAAACGAACCAGGTCCCCTTCCTGGTCGAGCCTACCCCCCTAGGGACAAAAAGGAACCTCTCTTCCCTCCTATCCAGAGGAAGGGACGGAGAGATGTGGCGATCAGACTCACTCTACCATCCAGTCTATCCAAGTACTAATAATCTTGAGGATGCTTTTCCTTGCCCTCTACCTCTCTCCCTTTTGTCCTTTGCTTCCTCCACTTCACGGCACCCCGCCTCTTCCGTCTCCCCGCAAGCTGGCGCTCGGCTCCTCCCGTTTACTTTTTGTTTGTTTGTTTTTGTTTTTTGTTTGCTTTTGTTTTTGTTTTTTGTTTTTGTTTTTTTGAGACGGAGTCTCGCTCTGTCGCCCAGGCTGCAGTGCAGTGGCGCGATCTCGGTTCACTGCAACCTCCACCTCCTGGGATCAAGCGATTCTCCTGCCTCAGTCTCCCGATTAGCTGAGATTACAGGAGCCCCCCACCACGCCCGGCTAATTTTTGTATTTTTAGTAGGGACGGGGTTTCACCATTTTCACCAGGATAGTCTCCAACTTCTGATCTCAAGTGATCCGTCCGCCTCGGCCTCCCGAAGTTCTGAGATTATAGGCATGAGCCACTGCGCCCAGCTTTCAGAATGAACTTTTCACAATAGTGCAGCGCACTCCTAGACCCGTTTACGCACATTTTAAACACTGTGTTGTGATTCATATGTAGATCTTTCCACATCACTTTCTATTTTTTTTTTCTTCTTTTCCTTCTCTGTATGCTCAGCTTTAAACATTTTTGCACCATAGGCTGAGGCTGCACTCAGCTGGGGAGAGACGCGTGGCGGGGATAAAACTAGAGTAGAGGAATGTTGTTTCCTGTCTGAGAAGGCTCAGACCTTACAAGGGGAGAAAAAAGTCTGTAAGAGAATCTAAAACTTTTTTTGAGGAAATAATTGAAAAATATATCCTAATTGACCCTCCCACCGTATTTTGGCTAAAAATAGAAAGCCTCGACTCTCAGGAGATTGAGTTTGAAAACTGTTAAGACATAGAAAAGGTTTTATTAAAATTCAGTTTGCAAATCATCGTCGGCCTCAGCAATTTTCTCATTCCAGAGAGGGTTGTTTCCGAAATTCTGTAAACATCTGAATTTGTTCCTATGTCTAACCAGAGAAGTTCAATGTTTTTACACTTTTGACTTAACGTAAGAATTTATATTGAGATATATACACTTCTGGGATTGGCGTGCAAGTGTTGTATAAGGGAGTGATAATTAGGCAGAACTAAAAAAACCAAACAAACCTGGTGAAACCCGGGATCGAACCAGGGACCTTTAGATCTTCAGTCTAACGCTCTCCCAACTGAGCAATTTTGGCTACTCTAAGCACGTGCCGTTAGCAATTTCTTCAAAATATAAAAATCTTCATTTGTAAAGTGGGCGTATTTCCTAATGCCTAATTCTTTTTTGTTCAATATCAACACAAAAATTAGCCAGGGGTGGTGGCGCGCGCCTGTAATCCCAGCTACTCCGCGCCGCTGTACTCCAGCCTGGGCGACAGAGCGAGACTCCCTCTCCCTCCGTTGAAGTGGGAGGATCCACTGAGCCGGGGAGGCAGAAGTTGCCGCGAGCCGAGATTGCACCACTGCACTCCAGCCCACGCAACAGAGCGGGACCCTGTCTCGAAAACAACAACAAAAAAGAGTTGTTATGCACCAGTGTGGAGACCACAATTTTAAAAACTCTAAGGAAGAGATAGAATGTACTGGAGGACATAAGAGATCCTTCTTTTCTTTCTTTTCCTGTCACTTATTTTATTTATTTAATTTATTTTTTTTAGACAATCTCCCTCTATCGCCCAGTCTGGAGTGCAGTGGCGTGATCTCGGCTTACTGCAACCGCCACCTCCCGGGTTCAAGCAATTCTCCTGCCTCAGCCTCCCTAGTAGCTGGGATTACAGGCGCGCACCACCACCCCTGGCTAATTTTTGTATTGATATTGAACAAAACAGAATTAGGCATTAGAAAATACACTCACTCTACAAATGACGTTTTTATATTTTGAAGAAATGACTAAGGGTGTGTGCTTAGAGTAGCTGAAATAGCTCAGTTGGGAGAGCGTTAGACTGAAGATCTTAAAGTTCCCTGGTTCAACCCTGGGTTTCAGCCAGCATCTTTTGAGTTCTGCCTAATTATCACTCCCTTATACAGCACTTATACGCCAATCCCAGAAGCTTACATATCTCCAATTTTTGGGAGTTTTTGAAAGTCTGATAAAGGTAATGTACATGTTTGTATCACTCTCTCCTTTGTATATTCCACTGAAGTCTTCCATGAAGTGCTCTCATTACATAAATTATTTAAAGTTTTTGGACGGAGTCTCACTCCGTCGCCCAGGCTGGAGTGCAACGGCGCGATCTCGGCTCACTGCAACCTCCGCCTCCTGAGTTCAAGCTGTTCTCATATCTCAGCCTCCCAAGTAAGCTGAGATTACAGGCCCCCGCAACCATGCCCGGCTAATTTTTGTATTTTTAGTAGAGACAGGGTTTCGCCATGTTGATCAGGTTGGTCTCGACCTCCTGACCTCAGGTGATCCACCTGCCTCGGCCTCTCAAAGTGCTGGGATTTCAGGCGTGAGCCACTAAGCCCGTCCTTATTTAAAGTCTTAAACTTAGGAAGTTATTAGTTTTAAAACCTAAGAAATTCCAACGTGCTATATGCTGTGGCATTTACAAGTCATTTTTGATTTGATATTATTTATATGTATTGGGCGAGGGTTATTTTTAAATCACAAGAAATATGAAAAAAAGAAACATACAGTGAAGTAACTATTATACTGTATGAGCATATATATGGGGGTGTGGTGTATGCAAGAAACATTTTGAAATTAGAAAAACCCGGGTTTGTATCTTGAGTCAACTCCATTATTAAAGTGCTGTAAGAACTTTTTTTTTCTTTCTTTCTCTTTCTTTCTTTCTTTCTCTTTCTTTCTTTCTTTCTTTCTTTCTTTCTTTCTTTCTTCTTTCTTTCTTTCTTTCTTTCTTTCTTCTTTCTTTTCTTTCTTTTAAGCAGGGTCTCACTCTGTCATCCAGGCTGGAGTACAGTTATACAATCAGAGCTCACTACAGCCTCAACCTCTCTAGGCTGAAGTGACTCCACATGTCAGCACCCTGAGTAGATGGGACTACAGGCGAGCACCACCATGCCTGGCTAAATTTTTTTTTTTTTTTTTTTTTTGTATTTTTTTTGTAGACTGTGGGTTTCACCGTGTTGCCCAGGCTGGTCTTTAAATCCTAGGTTTAAGCAATCCACCTGCCTAGGTAGGCCTCCCAGAGTGCTTGGATTACAGGCAGGAGCCATCGCACCAGGCCCAATTACAAGAACATTCTAAATTTTCTTGCTGAGAAGACATTTCTTTAGCCTGGCAACCTTGTCTAGAATTTCCAAATCTTAAGCTGTTTCCATGTTTGTATCCAGGAAAAAAGAAATATATGTATTTCTATATGAATTATTTTATCAAACATTCATGAGGGGCTCTAGAATACTGAAAATGAAAGCAAATGGGCAGCAAAGTCAAGACTCAGGTGCATGTGCCCCATTTTCCCTTTTTCACTTCAACTCCTCTCTTGAAATTCTCTGTTGGGATAATAGGTCTTTTTTTGGTCATTTTGATTTTTTTTCTTTCAAATTACTGCTTCAGTTTCAGTGTTGTTTTTCTCTAACTTCTGCATACCCTGTGAGGAGACAATAATCTACAATACTCCACTATCAGAACTGCAGCAAGTTGCAAAAGGAAAATTAGTACCAAATGAGAAGTAACCTTGGGTTAGGGACATTGACTGTACAGAAACTGGGAATCAGGTACTTTATCCTTTCACTGAGGCTTTCTCAACTCAGAAGCTTGTGTTTTACTCCATTAAGAAATATTTGACTAGACAAACAGTAACATTGAATGTTTTGTGCCTAACGCAGTAAAGATTCCTTTACATTCTGTTGAAATGGAAGGCCTAGGGCAATTCCAAGCATGATTTGTCTGCCATTCAATGGCTTAAAAATGATGTTAATAATGATTTTGTAAAATGGGATGTTGTAAAGATCAAAGGAGATCATGCATAGAAATGCATTCTGTCAAGTCCACTCACAGCATGAAACTTAATTACTGGCAGATCATGCTCCGTGTTCTCTGCTTCTGGGATTCTCCCAGAACAGCACCTAAATGGATAACATTGTCTTTAGACAATTCTGTCCAATCAAGAGATAATACAAGTTTTAAATGACAGCCATTTTGTAGTGTTACCTTTTGCAGTAGTTGCATTAAAAAAAGTCAATATTTATATTTTTATGTAATTTCAATTTTTATTTTAGATTTGGGGGTACACGTGCAGGTTTGTTACATGGGTATACTACATGATGCTGGGTAAATTGCATGAGGTTTTGAGTGCAATTGATCCCATCACCCAGGTAGTAGGCATAGTACCCAAGAGGTAGCTTTTCAAATCTTTCTGCCCTCCCTCCCACCCCTCCCCATAGTCCCCAGTGTTTGTTGTTGCTATCTTTTATGTCCAGTTTCAATAATATATTTAAATCACTTTGTATATCCAAAAACTTATTTTAAGAAGCTATCAATTATAAAATTATTAGTGAGATATTTTATATTTAAAAAATAGTATTACACATCTTTGAAATCTGGTGTGTGTATGTATATATATATTTACATATATATATATTTTTTTTTTTTTTTTTTTTTTGCGAAGGATTCTCGCTCTGTCACCCAGGCTGGAGTGCAGTGGCCCGATGTCGGCTCACTGCAACCTCAGCCTCCCAGGTTCAAGCAATTCTCCTGCCTCAGCCTCCCAAGTAGCTGGGATTTCAGGTGTGTGTCACCAAGCCAGGCTAATTTTTGTATTTTTAGTAGAGATGGGGTTTCACCATGTTGGTCAGGCTGGTCTCGAACTCCTGACCTTGTGATCCACCCACCTCAGCCACCCAAAGTACTGGGATTACAGACGCAAGCTACTGTGCCTGGCCAAATCTGATATGTATTTTACACTTACAACACTCTTAACTTGGACTGGGCAATTTCAAGCATTCAATAGCCAGTGTGGCTAATGGTAACCATATTGGACAGTGCAGGTTTAAACAGATACTTTATATATTTTTAGGTTTTCTGAATTGAGTATGTATCACATGAGGGTGTTCTGTCTTCAGGATTAAATGTTTAATTCCTCAGAGGAATTCTGTGTTAAATAAGCTCATCCCACAGTTTTTACAAAAAAAACTGTGTTTCAGTCGTGTTGTTGTTAGTCAGAAGAGAGCTACAGATATTTAATTATTTAAAATTCTCTCCTTTTCAAGAGGCAAACAAAAAAGCAGACCTTCATATTATGATGAATTCCCAAGAATCCAGTAGACATCCAGGTTTCTCTGGGTGCAACATGACATAATGATGAAGGAGTGTTTCTGCAAATTGTCCTAATATTACTTCTGCAGCATCAAAGAGCTAAGATTATCTCCCTAGCATTTACATGCACACACAGACAGTCAAACACACACACAAACACTAGTTTTGTGTGTAACACTTCTCTTGTTTCTTATTCAGTGAAACCTAGCATTCAGTGCTTCCTATTTTTGTTCTAGAAATTCCATCAGCCAACCGAAAAGACAAGTCTGCCATATAACCTGCTGTTTTCTGCCAGTTCTACAAGGGATCAATGTTATTTCATGAGTGTTGGCAAAGGCTCATATATGAGTAAATCAGAATGAGAAAGAGTTAACAGTCACTAGAAATTTGGTGTCAGGAAATGGATTTTCTTCTCATCTTCTTATGTAGTTCAAAGAACACAGCCCTAATCATGATAAATAATAATAAATACCAGGGTTCAAGAACATAGAGGAGCAAACTTTAAAAAAAATTTTTTTTTACTTTATTATTATTATTATTATTATTTGAGAGAGAGTTTCACTCTTGTTGCCCAGGCTGGAGAGCAATGGCATGATCTCACTCACTGCAACCTCCACCTCCTAGGTTCAAGCAATTCTCCTGCCTCAGCCTCCCGAGAAGCTGGGATTACAGGAATGCACCACCACACCCAGCTAATTTTTGTATTTTTAGTAGAGACAGGGTTTCACCATGTTGGCCAGCCTGGTCTCGAACTTGCAACCTCAGGTGATCCACCCGCCTTGGCCTCCCAAAGTGCTGGGATTACAGGCGTGAGCCACCACACCCGGCTTTTTTTTCTTTTAAACAAATATCGTGAATAGGTTTGTAATTCCCAAATCTAAAAGGACCCTTTTTAGTCTTTATCCACCCTCTATGCAATATGTCTACTACTACTAATGCTCACAAACCCCAGGCTGGAGAGTCAATTGCCTGAGTTCTCCATGTAACATCCTCACAGTGTGCCCCACAGATACACCGAATTTAGCATGAGCCAAGCTAACTTATCTTCTCCATCTTCCAATCTTTCTCCCATTCCTTAAAGAGTTGTTAAAAACTCCCCTTTTCTACACCTCCTTCTGTTTGGCAATAGCCTGTTTGTTTTTCTAAACCACTTTCCCCCGTACCTCTTAAATCCTGTTTCTACTTATTTTTTATCTCACCCTCATAATTCAACTCTTCTCGTCATCCCTAGAGGTGTTGTTTCACTCACACCTTATAAATTTTTCTTTTCTTTTCTTTTTGATTTTGATACAGGGTCTCACTCCATCACCCAAGCTGGAGTGCAGTGGCGTGATCATAGCTCCCTGCAGCCTCCAGCTCCCAAGGTCAAGTGATCCTCCTGCTTCAGCCTCTGGAATAGCTGTGAGTACAGGCGCAGGACAACACACCAGCTAAAGACCCTTAAGATGAAATGCTGAGTGCATCGCTCTCAGGTTTTCTTCTGACTGTGATTTTCCTCAATCAAATCTAACCTTTAATATTCCGGCTGAGTAAACAACAAATATGAAGCATTTTAGGTAAGAAAAAGCTGAATTTCAATAACTTTGCGTCATCTCTGAAAGAAATCGAAAGAATGAAAAACCAGAATTTGATTCCTTGCCAAGCATAACAGAAGAAGGAGATCCTGACAACTCAACGTTTTAAAGCCACATTGGAAACTTCTTTTGGCGGTTATCTGACACTTTTCTAATACTTTGCTTTCCATTTCAAGTCCTGTACAGTATACTAAAGAATCTGTATCCCCTCATTAGTACCGAGTATCTTCTACTCAGAGCAGCTGAAGGCGCTCCATGATACTAACCACTACTACCAGCATGCTCACGGAGCCAGTCTCAGAAAATGAAAGTTACCTCCTGAAAATTATTACAAAACAGTCTTTCAGGAGGGGGGTGTAGCTCAGTGGTAGAGCACATGCTTTGCATGTGTGAGGCCCCGGGTTCGATCCCCGGCACCTCCAAATGGTGGTTTTGCTCTGGCAGTGCTTAAATGTAATTCTCAAGCAACATAGCCTTCTGCCTCCTCACCTTTTTCTATCCTATTTCTGCACGTATAGAGAGTAAAAACGTAACCCAATGGATTGCCTTCACTTATCTCCCATCTCTATAATGTAAGCCTCAACATCACCTAAGGCGATTGCGACGGCAGAAGGAAGAGGAGAAAGAAGAATGAGGTCGCAACAGGGTCTCTTGAAAGCAAACAAAAGCGTGCACATCAACAGGCGGCTCACTTTGGCTTCGGTTTTGTACTATGATTAAAGAGAAGGAAAGGCTGAGAAGAAGAAAGGCAGAAAAGCCCCCCCCCGCCCCCCGGGCATTTCGTTTTGGTCGTTGTTTTTGTTTTCTGAGCCAAATCCAGAGTCAAAGCATCTGTCCACTGATTTCTCTCCCTGTCGAACTGCGCAGAGAGCACAGCCACAAGTGCGATCCAAAGCTGAGAAAATGTGGCTCTCCAGCCGCTTGAGATGAGAGTGGCAGGACGCTGGACAACCGAACGAAGACTGTCGGGGAATTAGAGGTCTTCAACACGGAAGGAGCGAAATCAATAAGGATCAACACATTCCCTACTGATAGTCCATACGATTGATTCATTTTCCTGTATTGCATCAGTCACTCCATTCTCCTCGTTAAAATAAAACACTGAGGTCCGGGCGCGGTGGCTCACGTCTGTAATCCCAGCACTTTGGAAGGCCGAGGCGGGGCGATCACCTGAGGTCGGGAGTTCGAGACCAGCCTGACTAACATGGAGAAACTCCGTCTCTATTAAAAATACAAAATTAGCCGGGCGTGGTGACGCACGCCTGTAATCCCAGCTACTCAAAAGGCTGAGTCAGGAGAATCGTTTGAACCCGGGAGGCGGAGGTTGCAGTTTGCTGAGATCCCACCATTGCACTCCAACCTGGGCAGCAAGAGAGAACCTCCGTCTCAAAATAAAATAAAATATAACATAACATAAAACATTGCCTGGAAACCTCTGTTAACAGCAAACAGAGGCCCCATATGAAAAAGTAGAGAAAGCTTTTCTGCCACAATGGAAAATAGATGCAAAGTAAAGGTGAGTAAATTGCAGGTGTGTTGGCACTTCTAATTAAAAAAAAAAAATTCTTTTTTCTTTGTCAATCCTATCACATCTGCTTTGTATGACGAGGGAACTCCAGGAAATCCTATCTACTGATGACACCTTTTAGGGGTTTCCAATGCTGCATGTTTCAAAACTGCTGTCCTCTGTGTATATGTTTGCCGTTGAATCAAAAGTGTCTTTGAGAGGCAACAGAGTACGATGTTTGTCATCAGTCCACCAGTCTAACACTCTGTCAGGGTAGGCTGTCCTTACTTCTCGATTCTTTTGTTCAGTGAAAATATCCATAACCAGCCTACAGGAGAGATATTGTCTAGTGAAACCTGCTTAGCTGAAGACTGGTTGTGTGCCCCAGGGACAAACCATATGTTCGTTATAAGATACATTTTTTTTTTGTTTGAAGGAAGGTAATGCAGACATTTTCTTTTCGTTTCATACTTGTTTTCCCTTCTATCCACTGGTTCTCTCCAGGCACTTTAAGCAAATAGTGGCATGTTAGTCACAGTGGACACTGCACAGGAGAATAAGGGGTGAGGGATCAGGGTGCTACAAGAGGAATGCCAAATTCCAGGCCCAACCTCAGATCTATTGAGTCAGAATTGCTGAGGGTGGCGTCCAGCCGCCTGTGTTTGAATAAGCCCTCAAGTGACTCTGATGTTAAAGTTGTTTTGTTTTGTTTTTTGAGACGGAGTCTCGCCCTCTCGCCCAGGCTGGAATGCAGTGGTGCAACCTCGGCTCACTGCAATCTCTGCCTCCCGGGTTCAAGCGATTCTTCTGCCCCAACCTCCCAAGTAGCTGGGATTACAGGCGCGCGCCGCTATGCCCAGCTAATTTTTGTATTTTTAGTCGAGACGGGGTTTCACTATGTTGGTCAGGCTTGTCTCGAACTCTTGACCCCGTGATCCGCCCGCCTCGGCCTCCCAAAGTGCTGGGATTACTGGAGTGAGCCACCCGCCCAGCCGCTGATGCTAAAGTTTGAGAAGCACTGTTCTAGAGGTTTAAGAAGGTGGTCCAGGGCCAGGCGCCTGCTGAGGAGGAAGAGCTGTTCCCGGGGTTCCCTGCCTATTCTCAATCAAAAACTCAAACCACCTAGGAAAGCCAGTGAGGTTTGTATTTGCCTTACATCAGGGGTGGGGATGCATTTATTATCTCTTTGACACCGTCAACATTTTAGATGATTTTGGTAGTCACACACAAGAGACTGATTTTCCTGTAGAAGAACTCACCAGAGTTCTTGTCAGCCAGGAGACTCTTTTGAGCCAATTTTCTTTATTTCTTTCCTTTCTTATCATTCTACCCTCCCTTCTCTTTCTTTCTCTTTTTCCTTTCTTTCTTTTCTTTCTTTCTTTCTTTCTTTCTTTCTTTCTTTCTTTCTTTCTTTTTCTTTCTTTCTTTCTCTCTTTCTCCTTTTCTTTCCTTTTCTCTCATTTCTTTCTTTTCTTTTCTTTTCTTTTTTTTTTGAGACAGGGTCTCACTCTATCACCCAGGCTGGAGCGCAGTGGCGTGATCTTGGCTCACTGCAGCCTCTGCCTCCTGGGTTCAGGTGATTCTCCTGACTCAGCCTCCCAAGTAGCTGGGATTTCAGGTGCGCGTCACCATGCCCAGCTAATTTTTAGTAGAGGTGGGGTTTCACCATGTTGACCAGGCTGGTCTTGAATTCCTGACCTCAGGTGATCTGCCCTCCTTGGCCTCCCAAAGTGCTGGGATTACAGGCATGAGCCACTGCACCTGGCCACCAATTCTGTCATTTCTTTGTCACATAAAAAGTAAAAACATGACCCAATTCATTGCCTTTACTGCTCTCTTATTTCTATTTCTATTTGGTCAGCCTCTGTACCAGCCAAAGCAACTGACATAGCAGGAGAGGAAAGGAGGAAAAAAGAACCAGCTTTTACAAGATCTCTGGATCATGTTTCACTGTCAACTGTAAAATTATTTGTCTAGCCCTAGATTGGAAATATTATCTTCCATATATTTTCCTCAAAGTTTTATAGTTTTACATTTTATATTCATATCTGCGATCCATTTTAAGTTCACTTTTGTGAAGGCATGAGACTTATTTTTCTTCCATGGAATTACTACTTAGGCAACTTTGTCAAAAACCAGTTGAGAATATTTGTGTAGGTTTATTTTTCCATTCTCTCTATTAACCACGTGCCTATCTCCTTGCCAATACTATACAGTCTTAATTACTGTAGTAATAATACAATAATACAAGAATACAACAATGTAATGAAATAGTCTTGAAATCAGGTAGACTGTTTTTCCCTCCTAGATTTTAAATAATTATTCTAATTCCTTTGACTTTGTGGGAGAAACCTGGTGGGAGGTAGTTGGATCATGGGGGTGGCTTCCCCCATGCTGTTCTGGTGATAGTGAGTGAGTTCTCATGAGATCTGATGGTTTCATAAGTGTTTGGCAAGTTCCTCTTTTGCTCATACTTCTTTCTTCTGCTGTCATGTAAAGAAGGTCCTTGCTTCCCATTTCCCTTCCGCCATGATTGTAAGTTTCCCGAAGCCTCCTCAGCTATGTGACTCAATTAAACCTATTTCCTTTATCAATTACCCAGACACAGTGGCTCACGCCGGGAATCCCAGCACTTTGGGAGGCAGAGGCGGGCGGATCATGAGTTCAGGAGTTCCAGACCAGCCTGACCAATACGGTGAAACCCTGTCTCTACTAAAAATACAAAAATTAGCCGGGCATGGTGGCCTGCGCCTGTAGTCCCAGCCACTCGGGAGACTGAGGCAGAAGAATTGCTTGAACCCAGGAGGCGGAGGTTGAAATGAGCCGAGAGGAGGCCACTGCCCTCCAGCCTGGGCGACAGAGCAAGACTCCATCTTAAAAAAAAAAAAAAATTACCCAGTCTCAGGTAGTGTCTTCATAGCAGTGTGAAAACGGACTAATACACATTCTGTCTTTTACCGTGATGTACAGTGTTAGCTGTTCTCTATTCCTATTTTTCTGAGACTTTTTGTCATGAGTAGCTATTGAAGTTTGACAAATTCTTTTTCTACTGTGATATGATCACGTGATTTTATTTTTTAGCCTGTTAATATGGTGGATTGCAGTGATTGTTTCTAAATTTACCTAGTCTTACGTCTCTGGAATAAACCCCACTTGATCATGGTGTATAATGCTTCTTATATATTCCTGAATTCTATTTGATAATATTTTGGTAAGTATTTATGCACCAATACTCATTATTTTGTACTGTATTTACCTGGTTTTAGCATCAGGATACTATTAACTTCATAAATAAATGGAAAGTTTTTTGTCCTCTTCTGTTTTTTTCAGAATAGATTGTGTAGACCTTGTTTTAATTCTTTAACCATTTTTTTTTTTTTTGAGACGGAGTCGCGCTCTGTCGCCCAGGTTGGAGTGTCACTGCAAGCTCCGCCTCCCGGGTTCACGCCATTCTCCAGCGAGTAGTTGGGACTACAGGCTCCCTGCCACCACGCCCAGCTAATTTTTTGTTTTTTCAGTAGAGACGGGGTTTCACCGTGTTAGCCAGGATGGTCTCGGTCTTCTGACCTCATGATTCGCCCACCTCGGCCTCCCAAAGTGCTGGGATTACAGGCATGAGCCACCGCCCCTGGCCTCCTTAAGAACTTCTTAGAATTCTTCAGTGAAATTTTCTTGGATTCGAAGATTCCTGATTTTTTTTTTTTAAACGAAGTCTTGCTCTTGGCCTCCAGGCTGGAGTGCAATGGTGCGATCTTGGCTCACTGCAACCTCTGCCTCCCAGGTTCAAACGATTCTCCTGCCTCAGCCTCCCAAGTAGCTGGGATTACAGGTGCCTGCCACCACATCCGGCTAATTTTTGTATCTTTAGTAGAGACGGGGTTTCAGCATGTTAGCCAGGCTGGTCTCGAACTTCTGACCTCAGGTGATCAGCCCGCCTTGGCCTCCCAAAGTGCTGGGATTACAGCCATGAGCCACCACGCCCGGCCAGATTCTTGATTTTTTTTTTAAATTATGTTACAAATTTAATTCCCTTAATAGTTACAGGGTTATAAAAAATGTATTACATATTGAGTTAGTTGTGTTAATTTGTGTTTTTCAAGGAATTAGTCTATCTCATCTAAATTGTCAAGTTTGTGTGTAAAGAGTTATTCATAGTAAGGCAGAAATTTAAAAATAAATATGCATTCATTCACTCCAAGAAAAGTAACAGGAAAGGGTTAAAAAGAAAAGAAACAAGTTTTCGTTTGCCTAGCAGCTCACTTCAAGGACAGTTACAAGATAACACTTTCCGAAAAGCCAAGGCCAAAGGAACGGCTTCCAGACACGCCCTTCTCCCACCCCACCCAAGAACAAGGTTGAAGGGAAAAAAAGGAAAGGCAAATTCCTATACTGTTACTCCTTTCCCTGGCTTCTTAAGCATAACTGTTTTTACAAATGTCTGTATTTAGTCAGTTCTTGTTTTTCTTTTGACGCAGCTGCAAGGCCACAAATTAAGCACTGTATGATTAACTGCCTTTGTTTTGCTTATAAAAACTCCTGCTCTGTCTTTGTTCAACGCTCAGCATTTTTTGTTTGTTTGTTTTGTTTTGAGACAGAGTCTTGCTCTGTCGGCCAGGCTGGAGTGCAGTGGCACGATATTGGCTCAATGTCACCTCCGCCTCCTGGGCTCAAGCAATTCTGCCTCAGCCTCCCGAGTAGCTGGGATTACAAGCATGTGCAACCACGCCTGGCTAATTTTTGTATTTTTAGTAGAGACGGGGTTTCACCACGTTGGCCAGGCTGGTCTCGAACTCCTGACCTCAGGTAATCTGCCAGCCTTGGCCTCTCAAAGTGCTGGGATTATGGGCGTGAGCCACCAGGCCCGGCCAGTGCTCAACTTTTTGGATGTGAATCCACTCAGTGGCTGCTTACCTTAAAATAAATATCCTCCTGTTCTCCTGTATCAGTCTTTCCGTTCCTCAGTTTACCACCACAATAGTATTCCCTTATCCTAATATTATTTTTATATATTAGGATATATCATACTACATATGTTATATAAAATATTATATTGATAATATGTTATGTTAATATTATATAATAAATAACATAATTATAAAATATATTTATTTATATGATTATTTAACAAGTTATATATTATTATTTACTTATATTATTAGGATATAATATATCCTTATATATTATTAGTATATACTATGTATATTATATATATATATATTCTGAATAATCTTGAGGATGCTTTTCCTCCTTCATTTTTTAACTCTAGCCTGCCTCTTCCCTTTCCCCACCTGCTGGTTCTCGGCTCCTCTCCACCTTCTTTCTCATTTATTTCTAAATGAAGTTTTCACAAAAGCGCAGGGCACTCCTAGTCTCGTTTATGCACATTTTAAGCACTATGTTGAGATTCCTATGCAGCTGCTATTTTAATTTCCACATCACTTTCCTTTTTTTTTTCCTTCTCTACATGCTTGACTTTAAACATTTCTGCAGCATAGGCTGAGGCTGGGCCCAGCTGGGGAGAGATGCGAGGCCAGATAAACCTAGAGTAGAGAAATGTTGTTTCCTGAGTGGGAACGCTCCGACCTTACAAGGGGGAGAAAAAGTCTGCGACGGAGTTTCGCTCTTGTTGCCCAGGCTGGAGTGAAATGGTGCTATCTCGGCCCATTGCACCCTCCACCTCCCGGTTCAAGCGATTCTCCTACCTGTCTCCCGAGTAGCTGGGATTACAGGCACCCGCCACCATGCATGGCTAGTTATTTTTTAAATGCTGGGATTACAGGTGTGAGCCACCGAGCCCGGCTAAATTTTTTAAAGGAAATCATCCAAAAACATATCCTTTTGATGTCAGCAGAGTCTACAGTGATATCCTCTTTTTATTCCTGATATTGGTAATTTGTGTCATCTCTCTTCCTAAAATTTCTGTCTTACTAGAGGTCTTCTTTTATTGATCTAAAGGAACTAGCTTTTTGTTTGTTTTTCTTTTTTTGTTTGTGTTCCGTTTCACTGAATTTTGTTCTTATTTTTATTGTTATCTTTTGTCTATTTGCTTTGGGTTTATTTTGCTTTTTTCCCCACCTGGGTTCTTCAAATAAAAGTTTAGATGACTGACTTGAGACTTTTTTCTTTTTCTAATGTATGCAGTTAGTGGTATACATTTCTCTCTCAGTGTTTTTTTAGGTTGTCTTGAAAATTTTGGTATATTGTGCTTTCATTTTTATTCAGGTTAATTTATTTTTTGATATCTACTAAGTCTTTCTCTTTGTCCTGTGTACTATTTAGTAGTGTGTTGTTCATTTTCCAAGTGTTTGGATGTTCTTCTGTTGTCTTTCTGTGATTGACTTTTAGTTTGATTTCATTGTGGTCAGGGATCATACTGTGTGAGTTAATTCTTTTAAATTTGAGGTTTGTTTTATGGCCCAGAATATGTTCCATCTTGACCTGTGTTCTGTGTGTTCTGCTTTTCTTGTGTGGAGTCTTCTTTAAATGTTGACTGAATTCTGTTAGCTGAAGATGATTTTGAGTTCTTCAACATCCTTGCTGATTTTCTGTTTAGTTGTTCTATCGATTATTATGAGAGAAGTGTTGAAGTCTCTAATGTAATTGTGGATTTGTCTATTTTTTAAAAATTCTTTTTTTCTTTACATATTTTCAACTCTGTTTGGTTTATACATATTTAGGATTGTTATGCCTTCTTGGTGGATTTTTAAAATTTTTCTTTGTTCTAAAGCTTATATTAGGCCAGACGTGGTAGCTCACGCCTGTAATCCCAGCACCGTGGGATGCTGAGGTGGGTAGATCACCTGAGGTCAGGAGTTTGAGACCAGCCTGACCAACATAGTGAAACCCCATCTCTACTAAAAATACAAAAATTAGCCAGTCATGGTGGTACGTGCCTGTAATTCCAGCTGCTTGGGAGGCTGAGGCAAGAGAATCACTGGAACCCTGGAGGCAGAGGTTGCAGTGAGCAGAGATCGCGCCATTGCACTCCAGTCTGAGTGACAAGAGTGAAACTCCATCTCAAAGAAAAAAGATAAATAAATAAAGTTCATATTATATTAATATACTCACTTTTGCTTTCTTTTAATTAACATTTGAATGTTATATATTTTTATATGCTTAATTTCAACCTGTATGTATAATTATATTTGAAATAAGTTTCTTGTAGACAGCATGTAGTTGGATTATATTTTCTAATCTACTCTGTTAATCTCTGTCTTTTAATTGGTACCTTTCGACCATTTACATTTAATGTAATTATTGATATGTTAGGGCTGAAATCTAGCAGTTTGTTTTCTATTTGTACCCTGTTACTGCCATTTTCTGGGGATATGTATGTATGTATGTATTTATTTATTAAAGCCTTCTTTGTGGACTACTAGTATACTTTTTTAGAATTTCATTGTCATTTATCTGTAGCGTTTTTGTGTGTGTGTGGTTTTGTTTTTTTGATTTTTTTTTTCTCCTGCCTCAGCCTCCCAAGTAGCTGGGATTACAGGCATGCGCCACCATGCCCAGCTAATTTTTGTAGTTTTAGTAGAGACAGGGTTTCACCATGTTGGCCAGGCTGGTCTCGAATTCCTGACCACAGGTGATCCCCCTCAGCCTCCCAAAGTGCTGGCATTACAGGTGTGAGCCACTGTGCCCAGCCTATCTGTAGTGTTTTTAAATGATCTCTTTATATAACTCTTTTAGTGATTTGTCTGAGTATTACATATTTATTTAATTTATCACTGTGTACTGGTATCATTATTTTATCAGTTAAAGTGATGTGTGTCATCTTTACCTTTTTGTCACTTTGCCTCTCCTACTTGTAATATAATTGTCTTAAATTATTTCTTCTACATACATTTCGAACCACATCGAACCATGTTATACTTTTTTCTTTCTTTCTTTTTTTTTTTTTTTTTTTTGAGACATTGTCTCACTCTGTTGCCCAGGCCTGAGTGTAGTGGCGTGATCTTGGCTCGCTGCAACCTCCGTTTCCCTGGTTCAAGTGATTCTCCCTCCTCAGCCTCTCGAGTAGCTGGGACTACAGGTGTGTGCCACCATGCCCAGCTAATTTTTTGTATTTTTAGTAGAGACGGGGTTTCACCATGTTAGTCAGGCTGGTCTTGATCTCCTCATCTCATGATCTGCCCACCTTGGCCTCCCAAAGTGGTAGGATTACATGCCTGAGCCACCGTGCCCGGTCATGTTACACTTTTTGCTTCAACTGTTAAACATAATTTAGAAAGCTCAAGAGGAAAAGGAAAATGTATTGTTTTTACCTTTTTTTTTTTTGCTTACCATGTTCTTTCTTCTTTCCTGGTGTCAATTATTTCTTCTTTTATCATTTCTTTCCATCTGGAGAAATTTAACTATTTTTTAAAGGATAATTCTGCTAGAAGCTAATTATCTTAGTTTTCTTTGCTCTGAAAATGTCTTGATTTCTTCTTCAGTTCTAAAGGATATTTTCTGTGGATATAGAATTCAGAATTAACAATTCTTTTCTTTCGGTCCTTGAAAACTGTTGTGCCACTCTTTCTGACTTCTGTGATTTCTGATAAGATACCCACTGTTATGCAAATTGGTTTTCTCTGTAGGTAAGGTGTTTTGTCTCTTTTCTTGCTTTCAATATCTCTTTCTCTGTTTTTAGAGTTTAGAAATTTTGATTGATTTTGTTTTCAGTTAACCGTTGAAGGAGATTCTCTAAAAAATATGTAAAAATGCAAATCTCCAGGTCAACAGTCTCTAAAATAGTTTAGATTTCTGTATTCTGGTGTTTGGAAAACAACTTCACTAAGGCAATCCCTTAGGGCTGGTAATTTCATGATGTAAATCATTCCACATTTGTAAAGCATAAAGTAGCAAAGTTTTAGTCACTGTACAAACAAGTATCTGAACTTCTTCCTGTGCTTAATTGGTATAAACTATCTTGGGCGGCAGTTCCCCACCTTTTTGGCACCAGAGACCGTTTCATGAAAGACAGTTTTTTCCATGGATGAGGGAGCAGGGGTTGGGGGGGATGATTTTGGGATGATTCAAGCACATTAGATTTATTGTGCACTTTTTTAATATTGTTATTATATTGTAATATATAATGAAATAAGTATCCAACTCACCATAATGTAGAATCACTGGAAGCCTTGAGTTTGTTTTCCTGCAACTAGACAGTCCCATCTGGCACTGATGGAAAACAGTGACGGATTATCAAGCATTAGATTCTCATAAGGAGCCCACAATCTAGATCCCTTTCATACGCAGTTCACAATAGGGTTTGGACTTCTGTGAGAATCTGACGCCCCCGCTTATCTGGGAGGAAGAGTAGCTCAGGCGGTCGCAGGAGCGTTGGGGAGTTGCTGTATAAGGACAGATGAAACTTCTCTGGCTCGCCTGCCGCGCTGCCTGATACGCGGTTACGTTTACTGGAGGTTGGGGACTCCGGAGCTAGAGTAAAACACACAAATATTTCGCCTGAACAGGGACTTGAACCCTGCACCGTCAGATTAAAAGTCTGATGTTCTACCAACTGAGCTATCCAGGCCCTGGGTAGACGCAACCCACGGAGTATGTAATCTAGATTTCTCCATTTGTTCAGTTCATTTTGTTTCATGTTGCAATTTGTAAATCATATTACTTGAATTATCCTCTTTTCGAAGACCCTGCTTAAGAGAGACATTATAATCCCTAGGAATATTTTCCTTTTCTCTTTTTAAACATTTCCTTTCTGTAGATTTTCGTAACCTGAGATGGAGCGTCTTCTACACAAAGCACTGCGGAGTTGCTAGATACAGAGGGTTTCATTCTCGCCAATTACCTGCAACCTAAACTTCTCGAGGCAACTGTGGAGCTACTTTTGTTCGTATCCCTCAGTATTGTCTTGCATCTCTTTCTTGAAGCCTTTGTAGGCAGAGGGTAAGAGAGACGAAGGAGGAAGAATTTGAAGATGCAAGAGAACATTCCATAATGGACCCCTTTCTGTTGGTGGATGAAACTGCCAGCCAGGCATCACTTTGGCAAGTGGACCTCAGACCGGCGGTCTGGCTGGCCAGAGAGGAAAACCGCGTGTAACAGTGTCTTTTGGTTTAGTATTTAGTGCCGCTTTTGCTGGTCACAGTCTAAAGGTTTTAGAAATAGTGATGTTAAACACAGCAAGCATTTTTCTGCCAGATATTCGTTCTCCAAACACAGACAGACAAAGGCAGTAATTAATAATGGATCTTTTCTTTGTTTTTTTCTTGTTTTATTTTTGAAGATATTTTTTCTTCGTCTATGGATCTTTTTTTTAATTTTTAATTTTTACTGCTGCATAGTATATATATGTATATATATGATACATGGGATATTTTGATGCAGGCATACAATGTGTAATAATCATATTGGGATAAACGAAGCATCCATCACCTCATCCATCGCCTCAACACCTTATCATTTCTTTGTTACAGACATTCCAGTTATAATCTTTAAGTTATTTTTAAATGTACAATACATTTTTGTTGACTATAATCACCCTGTTGTGCTATCAAATGATAGATCTTATTCATGCTAACTATATTTTTGTATCCATTAACCATCTCACTGCCCCCTCCAATACCCTTCCCAGCATCTGGTAACCATCATTCTACTCTCTGTCTCCATGAGTTCAATTGTTTTATTTTTGGCTTCCACAAATGAGAGAGAATATGTGAAGTTTTACTTTCTGTGTATAGCTTAACTTAATGTCCTCTAGTTTGTGGAGGAAAAGTTACGTATTAAATTTGAACTCAATTGAACGTGGACACAAACAATGGTCACCAAATCCTGAACAGGTTGTATGAACCCCTTGAGGTGTTCATCCAGTGCTGTTTTGGAGAAATCTCTATTTCAATCTATTCCTATACGTTAGTTATTGAAAAACAACAGACAATCGCAAAAACAAGTTGACCTTTTCTTGTTCCTTGAGCTCAGTCGCGAAGGGCTCTCGTGAGCTTCATGAGACCTCTCCTTCTCTGTGCATGGACGAGTGGCCGACTCTGGAGCCGGGGCTGTTGCTTCCCGGTGTGGTGATGAATCCTTCATAGTCTTGTGAGTGTACATATATATAAATATATATATTTATATATATATATATATATTTGGTGAGTGTGTGTATATATATATATATATATATCTTTTCCCTTCTCCCCTTCCCATTGCAATTTGCTTATTGTATCATTTGTTTATTATATCTGCATTGCCGTTTACGTGGGATAAAGGTTATTTACCCTTAAAGGTATTGTGTGTGTGTCTTTTCTTCTCCCCTCTCGCATTTCCCGCACAGAACATAGTTCCATCCGCTTTGCAAATGACAAGACCTCATTCTTTTCATGGCCGAATAGTACCCCGTTGTGTATACGTACCACATTTACTTTATTCATTTATCTGTTGATGGGTACTTAGGATGCTTCCCAATCTTGGCTATTGTGAATAGTGCTGCAATAAAGATGACAGTGTAGATATCTTTTCGATATACTAATTTCCTTTCTTTTGGGTATAGGCCTAATAGGGGGATTGCTGGAATATATGGTAATATTTTTAGTTTTCTGAGGAACCTCCATACTATTCTCCAAAGCGGTTGTACTAATTTAAATTCCCACCAAGAGTGTACTAGGGTTCTCCTTTCTCCACGTCCTTGCCTGTCTTTTGGATGAAAGTCATTTTAACTTGGGTGAGATAACATTTCATTTTAGTTTTGATTTGCATTTATTTGATGATCAATGGTGTTGAGCACCTTTTCATATATTTGCCATTTGTATGTCTTCTTTTAAAAGACATATAGACAAAAGAATGGTAAATAGATATGTGAGTAGAAAATCTTTACTTGGCTGAGTTTTCTTTATCCTTTCCTTTCACAGTAGCCCCCATCCCCAACACACACACACATACACACACACACACACACACACACACACACACACACACACACACGTCAGGTCAATAACCAGACCATAAGTGCTGCAAATCTTAGTTCTTTCTGTGTGTGTGAGTGAACGTTTGTTGTACACTGGATCACACCTCACAGGAAATGCTGAGTTTTCCAAATTCTAAAGTTAAGAACATTATTAGGGTCATGCATTATGGGTTTTTGTAAAATGGCTAAAGTAGCTACATTGGGAGATTCTTTGTCTAAAGGTGCAATACATCCCCCAATTTGATTCAGGGCTTGGAAAGTTGTCTGGTTTCATCTAAACAAATAAATAAATTCTATTTTTTTCAAATCTCAATTATAGAAACCTTTATCTACAGACACCCTCCTCCATTCATTTCTTCAGTGAAATTATCTAGACAGATTGTTATAGAGAGATTAAGAATGTCATACTTTCAAATCTCTCTTGGATTCCTCCCAAAATACTTTTGTTAGAAATATTTAAACATTTTAAAGGAATCTTGCCTGGAACCCATCAGATAAAAATCAAAAGGCATCAGAGAAAACACTGAAAGGCTTTGGAAAGGAAATGGTATCACTGGTATAAACAAACATTTCATACAATTTAATAGTTTCTTAGCATTATTCTTTCAAATCTCAGTGCCAATCCTTTTTAGCATCTTCCTGAAGAAAGAAATTTCAGGCTACTTTGGACACACTTTCTATAGGGTACCCCTGCTCTGCAAACAGCAGGAATAAATAAATAAATAAATAAATATAACAATAAATAAATAGATTTCGATGGTTTGGCTCAGTCTACCAACCTTACTAACTGTGCCAACTTTACTATCTGCTGCCTACGTCTGCCAGTTAACTTTTCCTCCTCCAGACTGAACAAAAAATGCCCTTTTATTTAAATTTGTTAGATTTTGAGATTTTGGATTGCTATTCTTTGGGCACAAAATCCACTAGTGAGAAGGTGAGGAAGCAAAACTGAGAACAATTTCAAAACATGTGAATAAGTTTGAGTCTGTTGAAACATAAGTCATGGTAGTGCATCTTGCCCAAAATGGAGATGGATTCTTCAGCACTGACTAGAGCAAGTAGCCTCCCCAAACTGGATCACACCAGAAACCCTTATTCAATCTAATGCTCCTCATAGGACGCTTTCTGAGAAAGAAAGGGACTTAACTAAATCAGTTTCATAGGGAACAGCAGAAGACCTTTCTTTTGTCTACCCAGACTCATCTAGTCCGGCCCCAGAACTAGCGTTCCGTGGTCTCAAACATGGGTCATTACTTAATAAATTAGTGTACATAGGATACACCATCCAAAATATGGCCTAAAACAATTCTTGAGTTTTGACTGGAGAAACCTGGAGAAAATGGTGTACAAGGGATCCAGGAAAAGTTTAGGGCTGAGAGATGCATCTCTCTGGGGAAAGGAGATAGGACTGGGCACTGGAAAAATGAAATAGTTTCTTCCCAGTAACTCGTCATTTCCATGAAGCCAAGACGATGCGAAAACTGAGGGAATCTGTGATTGGTTTACTTTACAAACTTGGTTGTTGTTTTTTTTTTTAATCTTTCCTACCCTATCAACATAGGGGACATAGCTGGGGAAAGGGTAACAAAAAATCGCCCCAGACTGTTTTCTGGATCAATCCAAAGGTGAGCTTAGAGCAATCAACCTTTAGGCAAAATACTTGGGGCTTTTCTGACAAGGGGGAGCTTTTTTTTTTTTTTTAATTTCAACTTTTATTTTAGATTCAGGGAGTACAGTGCAGGTTTGGGACAAGGGTGTATTGCGTGTTGCTGATGTCTGGAGTACGATTGAACCCGTCACCCATGTGGTGAGCATAATACCCAACAGGCAGTTTTTCTATCCTTTTCCCCCTTCCAACCTCCCACCTCTTACGGTCTCCAGTGTCTTCTGTTCCAGGGGAGCTCTTGTTTGAGCTTACAGGCTTTTCTTCCTGGAGGAAGCACCATCGTATCTTTGAGACGGAAAAGGTTAAAATAGATCAAACAATGATGCTCCCTCTTACGCTGTCATGTCCACTCCTTCATTGCAGACTTGAGTTCTTGGCTCATATTTCTGTACCCGAACGTGCATTATCATTATTAGTAACTTAGAGAAGAGAGCCTTCAAAGAAGGCAAAGATGTCACTTCTGATCATCTCGCAGTTTATAATTCTAAGGAATTGCTATTAGGAATTTTAGATGGAGTTTTATTCCTTCTGCCCACCTCCTCCCCCGCCTCTCCCCGCCCCCCTTCAAGTTGTTAAATCTCTAATTACGAAGTTAAAGGTTTGAAAACAGAAACTCAACGTTTCCTCACTACACTTCAGTCTTGATGTGTGCAAATTAGCACCCGCGTGCGGCCGCGTGGCCTAATGGATAAGGCGTCTGATTCCGGATCAGAAGATTGAGGGTTCGAGTCCCTTCGTGGTCGTGTTCTTACTATTGTCAGGAAATATCTTTACTTTCTGCACATCTCCTTGAGCTTTCTGCAAGCCAGTTAAAAAAAAAAAACCGGCTTGTTCCCAAGACTTTGGGAACTTGAAATGAAAGAAGACTATTGACAAAAAAAACAAGAACCCGGTAAGCAACCTGTGTATTGACTATTAAAGTGCACTTTGTCCCTGGCATAGGTACTACCGGAGGCATTCGTAATTTGGAATGGGCTTGGTTTTTCAATTTATGGTCTTGTCCTACTTGTTTCATGAATTTAACAAACACAACACAAAATCACCCTTTTCTTTTTTTTTTTTTTTTTTTTTTTTTTTTTTTTTGAGACGGAGTCTCGCTCTGTCACCCAGGCAGGAGTGCAGTGGCACGATCTCGGCTCACTGAAAACTCCGCCTCTCCGGGTAAAGCGATTCTCCTGCCTCAGCCTCCCGAGTAGCTGGGATTACAGGCGCCCGCCATCACGCCCGGCTAATTTTTGTGTTTTTTTAGTAGAGACGAGGTTTCATCATGTTGGCCAGGTTGGTCTCAAACTCCTGACCTCAGGTGATCCGCCCGCCTCGGCCTCCCAAAGTGCTGGGATTACAGGCGTGAACCACCGTGCCCGGCATTTTATTTATTTATTTATTTATTTTTGAGTCTCACTTTGTCGCCCTGGCTGGAGTGCAGTGGCACAATCTCTGCTCATTGCAATCTCCACCTCCAGGGTTCAAGCTATTCTCCTGCCTCAGCCTCCCGAGTAGCTAGGATTACAGGTGCCCGCCACCATGCCTGGCTGATTTTTGTATTGTTGGTAGAGAAGGGGTTTCACCATATTGGCCAGGCTGGTCTCGAACTCCTGACCTCAGGTGATCTGCCCGCCTTGACGTCCCAAAGTGCTGGGATTACAGGCGTGAGTCATCGCGCGCGGCAGAAAAGTACCATCTTAATAGTAAGGACTATCATAATAGTAGGGGTATTGGGTGCAGGGTATATGGGAACTCTAATATCTTCTAAATTTTTCTGTAAAGCTAAGACTGTTCGACAATTATACTCTATAAAATAAAAATGATTTGTTTTTTTAAAGATAGACAGCCATGTGTTTAAAAAAACTTAGAGCAAAGATCTTGCCCTAGAAAGCAAATGCAACTCTAACGGGGTTCTTGTACTGGTTAACATCCGCATTAAAGATGATGGTGACTTACAGGGCCTATGCCATTCTCTCTGATTTCTACGATTTCCTTATTACTCTCAACACAAGCTTAAATAAAACAGTAAACAGAAAAGTAAAATCTTTCCAGACCTTGGTTAACAAAAGCAGAAACAAGGAGGAGAACGAGGAGGAGAAGGTGAAGGAGAAAGAAAAGAACAAAAAGAGGAAGAAGAGGAAGAAGTCACAATCAAGGAGAGTATATCACCAAGAAAAGAAAGTTTCTATCAAAAACTTTCTTTGGGCTCTCAAAACTCGAGAGTCAAACATTGTTAATAAATTTCCACAAAAATCTGAAGGTCACAAATCCAAATCCTAATAGGAAAAGCTTTCATCAAAATGTACTGATAAAGGCTCAATTACAACAACCTGGAACTCATGTGGTTGGGACACTCGCTCGAGCTCATAGTTTTGAAGGATGGCCAGAATTTAGAAACAAAGTGGTCAAAGAATGCACTATTATCACACTAAGAGTTTGGCAACCCTATCAGCAAAATGAGCCAGGGCCCTCTAAGAAACTCACAGGACCCACATATTGCTGAGGAAAAGAGGTATTTACTCACAACTGAAAAAACAAAACTGAATGTATGTCTTGCTTGAGCAGGGGTGAACTACAAGCAGATTGCAGTCTCTTAGTAAACAAACAAAACAAGAAACAAAACAAAAGGCAGGATATGCAGAGGAGTTTAATTAATTGTCAAGTGAAATTAAATTCACATAAATCAGCCTTTTGGGTGGTTCAAAGTAGAGACGGCTGTGAATTGTTCCTAGATTGACATACAAACAAATACTTATTTATTTATTTATTTATTTAATTTTTTGAGACGGAGTGTCGCTCTATCGCTCAGGCTGGAGTGCGGTGGTGTGAACTGCGATCTCGGCTCACTGCAAACTCCGCCTCCCGGATTCAAGCGATTCTC
Organism: Homo sapiens; assembly: GCF_000001405.40. Taxonomy (NCBI): domain Eukaryota; kingdom Metazoa; phylum Chordata; class Mammalia; order Primates; family Hominidae; genus Homo; species Homo sapiens. The sequence goes on along the minus strand of NT_167246.2, from coordinate 6,416 downwards.
CTGCCTCAGCCTCCTGAGTAGCTGGGACTACAGGCGCATGCCACCAAGCCCGGCTAATTTTTTTGTAATTTTAGTAGAGACGGGGTTTCACCATGTTAGCTAGGATGTTCTTGATCTCCTGCGTGATCCGCCCGCCTCGGCTTCCCAAAGTGCTGGGATTACAGGCGTGAGCCACCGCGCCTGGCCTTACAAATCTCTTTTACTTAGGAACTACTGAGTTAAGATAAATGTGGGTGCTAAATTCCAATTTGGCCCGGGCATGGTGGCTCATGCCTGTAATCCCAGCATTTTGGGAGGCCGAGATGGGCGGATCATCTCAGGTCAGGAGGTCAAGACCAGCCTGGCCAACATGGCGAAATCCATCTCTACTAAAAACACAAGAATTAGCTGGGTTTGGTGGCGTGCGCCTGTAATCCCAGCTGCTAGGGAGGCTGAGACACGAGAATCACTTGAACCCGGGAGGTGGAGGTTGCAGTGAACTGAGATCACGCCACTGGCACCCCAGCCTGGGTGGCAGAGTGAGACACCATCTCAAAAAATAATAATAATAAAAATGAAATAAATAAATTCTGATTTGTTGTGTGAATTCATGGTTAATTATGCAAAAGTGGAATATTCTATTCTTAATTGACTCAAATTAAAATTTCATTTAAATGTCAAGTTTTAAGATACCAAGATTGAGTGCTGATAGTATTGTTATTACTTGAGCACAAACTCCTGGACTCAGTTCTCTTGTCTTGGTCTCCGAAAATGCTAGGATTACAGGCGTGAGCCACTCTGGCTGTCCCCTCAGTAATTTTTTTTAAGTAAAGTTTATTTTATTTATTTTTTGAGTTGAGGTCTCGCCCTGTCACCCAGGCTGGAGTGCAGTGGCACTGCAAGCATGGCTCACTGCTACCTCAAACTCCTAGGCCCAGGCAATCCTCCTGCCTTGGCCTCTGGTGTAGCTGGGACCACAGGTGTGCACCACCATACCTGGCTAATTTTTCTATTTTTTTGTAGAGACAGGCTCTCACTATGTTAGCCAGGCTGGTCTCCAACTCCTGAACTCAATTGATCCTCCTGCTTTGGTCTCCCAAAGTGCTGGGATTTGAGGTGTAAGCCACTGCTCCTGACCAATAATTTTTTATATTAATAAATTTATGGCCGGGTGCTGTGGCTCACGCCTGTAATCCCAGCACTTTGGGAGACCGAGGCGGGCGGATCACCTGGGGTCAGGAGTTCGAGACCAGCCCGAATAATATGGTGAAACCCTGTCTCTACTAAAAATACAAAAATTAAACGGGTGTGGTGGCGGGCGCCTGTACTCCCAGCTACTCGGGAGGCTGAGGCAGGACAATCGCTTGATCCCGGTAGGCGGAAGTTGCAGAGAGCCGCGATCGCGCCACTGCAGTCCAGCCTGGGCGACAGAGCGAGAGTCCGTCTCAAAAAATAAATAAATATAATAATAATAATAAAATTTATGTCTACCAAAATAATTTATCTACATTATGAGCAAAATATGTCCATGTTTTGACTTGACACTTTTTGCACTCTCAACACTGCAATCCTCCTCATATCTTAAGTCAGCGTTTTGTTCATCCACTTGACAGTAGGGCAGAAAAGAGCCTTGAATGAATACCTCTCTGCAAATCCGACTTTCCCCGTTCAAATCTTGTCTCTTCCGCTGAGACTAGAGAGAATATAAGCAGCAAAACGCACCGCAAATACCCTCCCGGTTGCTCCAGGAGAAAGCTGGGTTCAGTAGCCTGTTGAGTATGAATCAAAAAGAAGTATGGGAAAATGAAAAGTATCTACATCAGAACAGGATCGTGATTCCTAAATTTCCGGACTAGTGGCCTGATGCATTTCCAGCTGAGCTAGCCAGAAGTACGATGGTTTTAGTGGGTATCTACTCTAACCCAAAACGTTCAGTCACTACTTAACCTTTCTTCCTCATTCTTTCTCTTGTATTTTAAACCCAAACACGCGAAAATAAACAAACAAACAAAAAGAAACACAAACTAAACAGTTGCTGCCTGCATCAAAGCTGCAGGCTGCTTCCACATGAGAACTGACACAACGTCACTTTCCTCAAACCTCCAATACCAGGGGCTACTGCTCCACGAATACTCAACCACACGCCCTCGAAAATGCTCAGCCTGTTTCCTGCGATGGAGAGTGCAGTGCAGTGAGGCACTCTCAGAGTCACAAAATCTTGGGCAACACGAGCCGTACCCTTCTGTGGGATATACACTTTGAAACCACTCACCTAGAGCCTTCTCTCTTCCCCAGGGCCTAGAGAAAGCTTGGCAGAGACGCGGCGCTTGGCTGCTTTCTTCCTCCACGCTTGTCTCAATACTATCCGTCTTTAAAGACGCGTCCCCGATTTTTCTTCTGCCTTCTTCTCCGCTGCTTCTTCTCTCCTCCACTCAGTGTTATCCCTCCCGGCTCCAAGAGCCCTTCCTTCCTTTTCAAAGCCTTCCCTTGCGTCCACTCCTCAGCTCATTTCAGTTCCCAGCCACTTGCCTTTCTAGTATAGTAAGAACATAACCTGTACATTAGGGACAAACTTCTCCCTACTCTCCCTTACGCCCCTGCTGGGTTTACAATGTTCTCCAAAATTCGTATCTGGATTAAACAGTCGCACCACATTTTGGCTACAGATGGGAAGGGTCTACTTTCTGCACTTCAGGGACTGATGAAATTTTCTCACTTGTGGGGGTGTAGGGAGGGTTTTACAAAGGGTGAATTGGTTTTCTCAGGTTGAGACCAGCTTCCTTTGTGCTTTCCTCCTTGCTCAAAAAAATTTGCTCTGAAAGAGTCCTCTGTCTTCGGCTTCGTTTGTGTTGTCTTTAAAACCAGAGCTAGTCAGGCTTGGCGGCAAACACCAGTAATCCGAGCACTTTTGGAGGCGGAGGCGGGAGTATTGCTTAAGCCCAGGAATTCAAGACCAGCCTGGGCAACACAGGGAGAAGACCGACCCGCCCCCTTCCCCCATCCCGTCTCTATAAAAAATCAAAAACAAAAAAACCTATAGCTGTAGAGTCGCCGATGAAGCCGCTGCCACATTTCCAAATCCAGATGTTGGACGCAACCTTGTGCAAAACTGCTACCTTTGTCACTCTTTGTTTTTGTCAATGTTGTGAATTAACCTCTTGTCTTTGCTTGTTTGGTTGTTTTTCAGGAGTTATTAACAACTTTATTGAAGTACAGTTGATATATGCAAAACCCCTACACGTTGAAGGTAAGCATATGAGTGAGGACATATGCATACATTTATAATGCTATTTCCACAATCGGTAATAAACACACTTATCAACTCCAAAAGTTTCTTTGTGTTCTTTCATGTTCATGGGTGGTAAGAAGACTTAAACATCAGAGTTATCTTTTTTTTTTTTTTTTTTATTTTGAGACTGAGTCTCGCCTGTCGCCCAGGCTAGAGTGCAGTGGTGCGATCTCGGCTCACTGCAACCTCCGACTTCCGGGTTCACGCCATTCTCCTGCCTCAGCCTCTCGAGTAGCTGGGACTACAGGCGCCCGCCACCGCGCCCGGCTAATTTTTTAAAACATTTTTAGTAGAGACGGGGTTTCACCGCGTTAGCCAGGATGGTCTCGATCTCCTGACCTCGTGATCCGCCCGCCTCGGCCTCCCAAAGTGCTGAGATTACAGGCGTGAGCCACCGCTCCCGGCCGAGTTATCTTTTTAACAAAATTTTAAGTGTACATTATGGTATTGTTAACTGAAGGCACTAGGTTGTGCAATAGATCTCTAGAACTTATTCATGTTTCATAACTAAAATTTTAACTCACCGAGCAACAACTCCCCATTTCCCTCTGCCTCTGGTCCCTGACAATCACCATTCTGTTCTCTGCATTTATGAGTTTGACTATTTTAGATACCTCATATAAGTGGAATTATGAAATATTTGTCCTTCTGTGACTGGCTTATTTCACTTAGCATAATGTCCTCCAGGTTAATCATTGATGCTGGTGCAAATGGCAGAATTTCTTTTTTATAAAAGGCTGAATAATATTCCATTGTATGTATATACCACATTTTCTTTGTCCACTCATCTCTCAATGGACACTTGGATTGTTCCCTTATCTTGGTTATTGTAAATAATGCTGCAGTGAACATGGGAGTGCATATGTTTCTTTGAAATTCTAATTTCGATTTTTTGGGGACATATACCCAGAAGTGGGATTGCTGGATCATATGGTAGTTCTATTTTTATCTTTTGAGGCGACCCCTTACTATTTTCCATAGTGGTGTCATCATTTTACACACCAACAGTGTAGAAGGGTTCCAATTTCTCTACATCTTTGCTAACACTTACCTTTTGAGTTTTTTCTTTTTAATAACAGACATCCTAATAGGTGTGAGGTGGTATCTATTGTGATTTTGATTTGCATTTCCTTGATGATTAGTGATGTTAAGAGCACCTCTTCACATACCTAGTGGCTATTTGTATGTCTTCTTTGGAGACATGTCTATTCAAGTCCTATGCTCGTTTTAAAAATCAGGTTATTTGGGATTCTAAGGGGTGTGTGTGTGTGTGTGTGTGTGTGTGGCTATTGACTTGTAGCGGTTTAAAAAATTTATTTTGTATATTAACCCCTTATCAGATAAATGATTTGCAAATATTTTCTCCCATTCCATAGCTTGCCTTTTTCCTTTGTTGATTGTTTTCTTTCCTGTGAAGAAGCTTTTTAGTTTGCTATAGTCTCGCTTATCCATTTTTGCTTTTGTTGCCTGTGCTTTTGGTGTCATACTCAAGAAACCATTGCCTAAACCAATGTCAAGAATATTCCCCCCTGTTTTCTTCAAGGAATTTTACAGTTTAGGGGCTTAAGTTTAAGATTTAAATTCGTTTTTAGTTGACTTTTGTGCATTAACATCTTGTCTTGTCTCCTCACCTGGATCTACGTTTCCTCTGCAGCACTCACAGAACTCGTCTTTATATTCTCTGGCACTATCGCGCGCGCGTGTGTGTGTGTGTGTGTGTGTGTTGGCAGCTCCATAGAGGAGGTTTTTTTAAAAAGGAGAGAATCTGAAGACATACCAGAAGATTCAATCTTGGAACTTCGCTCCAGGTGGACGGAAACTGACAAAGAAAGTTGGCTAACAGCAGTCCTTGAAATAGATGACGGCTGTGAGAGGATCCAAGGGTCTTTCGGTCCAGAATGCCTTTCTCCTCTTGACACAGCGTCAAGACAAGATTCCATTCAGAAGTTTCAGAAACAGGAGTTAAAACATAGCGGACTTTAACCTATCATGCCTTAAGCCCTCACCTTTAGATAATAGCATATAATAAATCAGTAAGAAAACGGCATTGTAAGTGGGGGTGTAGCTCAGTGGTAGAGCGTATGCTTAACATTCATGAGGCTCTGGGTTCGATCCCCAGCACTTCCACAAGTACATTTCCTTATATCTATCGTTGAACATTTCGTTTCAGTCTTTGAATACTTAGTTCCAGTCTTTTCTTTTTTCTTTGTGCATACACTAGCTTGTGTTTTTCCTACTCACAGCGAAGGTAAGCCATTTGGTACTCATTCATTTGTACTATGGGTCCTAACACTCCTTCAGCCTCCCAACCTGACTGCTTCAGCACAGCTTTATAGTTATTTACTGAAATAGAGAAGCTGCTTATTCAAGATCCCCTGAGAGTGAAGCAACAGGCATGCCGGTCATAGAAGACTCGTTCTCCTAGACCATCCTGGCTAACATGGTGAAACCCCATCTCTACTAAAAATACAAAAAAAAAAAAAAATTAGCCGGGCGTGGTGGCGGGCACCTGTAGTCCCAGCTACTCCAGAGGCTGAGACAGGAGAATTGCATAAACCCGGGAGGCTGAGCTTGCAGTGAGCCGAGATCGCGCCACTGCACTCCAGCCTGGGCGACTGAGCAAGACTCCATCACAAAAAAAAAAAAAAAAAAAAAAAAGACTCGTTCTCCTTTGCTGCCGTTTCTCATTACTATTAAGAAATCGGGGGGGAATAAAAAACAGAAAGAGAAGAAAAAAAAATCGCCCTTGGAAAACATCCATTAGATTTCTCTCCTCCCCCCCCCACCCCCACTCCACCCATATCTGACAGACTACAGACCTTTCCTCATTCTCCCCTACATTTCCACCACTCATAGAATCTTGGTTGGGCGGCAAAAGTGGGTCCAATCATTAGTCATGGGAGCGCTGTGATCTCAGCTTTCTCTAAAGAAGGAATGTTTAGAATTTTTTCCGAACGAAAGACGCTTCTGGCGAAACTCCGAGACTTTCAAAATACACAGTTGAGAAAATTATTTTCAGAGATGGAAAAAGCCGCTGGTCGCTCTCAAAGCGGTGTCAGTTTTGGACAAAAAGGGTTATGTTTTCCTGTGGAACAGAAGCTTGTAGTTCACCTCCCTTGGGAGGGAAAGACCTGGTTTCCTACAGCCA